>NC_000003.12:128099513-128251028 GCF_000001405.40 Homo sapiens
GCTTGCATCAGCCTAGTCCTTACTTAACTTGGAGCTGATCATGGCTGACTCCATAACAGGTTCACCACTCACCTGCATCCTCCTGCGGGCTCCTAACAGTGCAGTCAGCAAGAGGAAGAGGCTGGTGTTTGGTCATTTATTCAGCATTTAGTGATCACCTGTTGGTTACCAGGCCCTGAGACACAGAAGGGCTCACTAAATGCTGAATAGCTAAAGGCAGCAAATGTTTCCTGTCTGGTCCTCAAAACTGCCTTGCCAAGTAGGAGGGAACTCAAAACCGAACCCCAAACCACAGAAAACCCAGAGACCCAAAGTGACAAATTAACCAAGCTGGTCAGTGATGGAGCAACACAGTTCCTGACTTCTGACTCCCAGCCCAGCACTCTTCTCAGGTCAAGGGCTCCCAGGAGGTCAGTTTGGGGATGGCCATTTCACCAACCAAGGGGACCTGTTGGTCCAAGATGAGTCTTCAGTAATCTCTTGACCAAAGCTCCAAGGAACAAAACACCCACGGATCAAATTTCAAGTCAGAAAACAAACTATTCCCTAATAGTGACTATTCACTATTTCCTAGAAATGTCATATAGTGATAACATCCTTTCCTGCACTTTACTAGCCAAGGCATAAGTATCCATCTGTATGAGAAGCAGACAACAGTACCAGCTCAAAGCTAAAACACTGTGGCTTTTGCTAAGCAGGGGGAAAGAAAGAGCTTTGTTAGGCTTTCTGAAATCCTGTAAAGGGCTCATAGAACACTCCTGCCCTCCTGCCATTAACACCCAGAAAATCCCAGGTGTGAGCCCACTGCTGGAGTGAAGCCATGGAGGAAGCTGGCTAGCTCAGGGCCAGAGGCTTGGCTGGGATAAGAAACAATACACATGAAATCATCTGTGACTAGAGCATTTGAATGGGAACAAAGGAGTCCCTCGTAGCTCATGTCGATGTTAATTGCTGAACATTACAGATAGAAAAGGACCGTCTACCTCAAGAAAGGCAGCAAGACTCTGACAATTCATTCCCAGATCTCCACACACATACAAAAGGGCTAATGTGCCAGATCACCCAGGCATCGAGGCAGTACCTGGGGCCGCGCATTAGCCACATCCAAGTCATGCAAGGTCACATCTTGGATGATTTCTTTCTTTTTGTGCACATCCCCTTTTGGCAAGGGGACATACTCTTCAGCTTCAAGGTCGAATTCTGTGGCATAGGTATCACACCTGCCCTGCCTCTGCAAAAAGAGAGAAACATGAGTGCCTGGTAAGTTTTCACTGCCAAGTCCCCAAATGGCACAGGGCTAAGTGAGATAAAGGTCTCAGTTCCCACTGCAGGCCTGACAGCCTACTTGACAAACTCCAAATATGCCCCACTCCCCTGCTGCCAAGAGAAGGGAGCTATCTGCTCATCGCTGGGCTCCAAAAACTGGGTTGAAAAACACCTGATACTTTCTCCCAAAATCCTTTTTCCCTTCTTTCTTTTAACTGTATGCAATTCCTGATAAAGGCCAAATCCAGTAGATTAACTGGAGGCAGAGGAGCTGCTCAGACTCTTTTGTAGGTGGATGATTTATTGTATGATATGAAGTATTATGCCCATCCATTAAACAGTGAGGAACACTGTACAGGACCCTGAAAATCAGATAGAAAAGAATGCCAACGAATGCAGCGTTCCTTCCCACATGCATATATCTTGGGAAGAAAATACCAAAGAGATAAAAGGAAGATTAAATACACTGCACATTTCAATTTGAAAGTGACTAAAGTTGTTTTGGTTTCTCACCCTGTCCTCCCCCTCTGAACAGGTTTTAGTATTTTTTCTAACAGACTATCTGTTTTAATCGCGAGAAGGTTAAAGAATGAAGATAAAGGGAAGGCAAACTTTATTATACATAAAGGGCCACTAGTTGACCTTCCATCAGCCTCATAACAGACACCAGCCCCTCCCCACACACCCCACACCCTCTGAAGAAAGCAACTCCCTTGTCACTTAGGTCTTCTCATGGCAAACAAATCAGGGACAATGCTGTGTCCCAAGGAAGGCATTACCTTCACGGCCCCACTGTTGGCTTCAATGTAAATCACATCTCCAGCTTCTACTCGCTCTTTCTGCAAACTTTCAAAAATGCTGGGGTCCAGCTAAAAAAAAAAATGTAAATCAGAAGTGTAATACATATTCCATTTCCTTCTGACACCATGTAAGGTACCTTTCCGTAAGGGATCTGAGGTAGCTAGCAGGTGCATGGAGAAAGCCTGTTTTGCGTTTGCATGAATACTGGGACCTGCAGGAGTGTGAATGCATAAGTACCACACAACAGACTGGCTGGGGGACTAAGCACACCAGGGAGAAAATAGGGGGGCCAGCATACCTGCATCCCTATGTAACGAGCATGAGAGGGACACAGGGGACACGTACTCTCCTCTTTCCCTTGATTCCAAAGGCTGTAAACTGGCAGCAGCGCTTTTATAAGGATGGTCCTGGCTGCCGTGAGACGGGTGGGCCCAGCCCCCACTGTCCACAGGACCACAGGCCCTATCACCCCTCTTGAAATCATCATCCCTACTTCACTCCTTCATTTGCCTCACCTCAGGTGGGGTGGAACTTTCCACAACTGAAGTACCTGCCAGCACCTGCTTACCAATCTCAAAGCTGGCATCTTGCAGGGCCTTTGATTTTGGATAAGGTTCTCAGTTCTAAGTTTCCTCATCTATACAACAGCACCCAGGTGCAATCACAGATGTATACAGTAATTCAAAGAAAAACATAAATGAGAATCTTTCCCAAGCCTTTTGACTCACATCCCAGTGTTTGTGCCCTTGGGTCTGCCTGCTTATATCTCCAGGAAAGGAAATAAGCAGATTTGCGGAACTGTTGCTTTTCTCCAGATTCTGGTGACCCTCAGTGATTAATATTCTAGGACAGCTGCCTTTGTAAGGATTCTATAGTTAAACACAAGTTTCTCGAGGTCTTCATGGAGATCTATGTTATACAATGTAGCTATGGTGGAAAAAAAACTTGGGCTTTGCCCAAACAAAATTAAAAAGTGAAAACCCAGGACTTGGTGAAAGAAGCCAGATACAAAAAAAGACATACACTGTATGTTCCATTTATATGAAATGTCCAAAAGAAGGCAACCGAAAGTAGATTAGTAGTTGCCGAGGGCTATAGTTGGAATGGGGAATGACTGTAAATGAGTAGGAGGATTCTTTTTGGGGCGATGAAAATGTTCTGAAATTAAGATTGTGGTGATTGTACAACTGTGAAAATAAATTAAAATTCCTGGAATTGTATACTTAAAATGGGTGAGTTTTATTTAAAATGCTATCTGAATAAAGCTTTTAAAAAACTACCACCACAGCAGCAAACCCAGGGTTCTGCCTCTCCTTAGCTGGGTGGGGACGGCAGACCCTGGCAGAACTGCTGTGAGTCTGTGCGCCTAAGGACAAAAGTGGGTGAGGCCCCCAGGTAAGGCCTGGCAGGAAGGGGTCATGAGTACTAATGGCATTCTCGTTGCTAGAACTCAGAAGACTCCTTCAGACTTGAATATCCACCAAGTATTTGAGCACCTTCTATCCAAATATCTTGTACATATTCTAAAAATACCTAAAAGTATTCATTTTGGAAGAAAAATTTCATCTTCTCCTCTACATTATTTTTGTAAAGAAACTGTACAAAGCAGTGTTACAAATAGCTGAAATTTAAACTGTACGCCTTATTTTATCTGTCCTACATTGGAGAATATACTTCTTTTTTGCCTCAAGCATTTTTATATCGGTTAATTTCCCAAATGAATTGACTGAAGATGTAATTACTGGAAAGGTGGCAGATGCTACTGAGAAATCTAATTAATTCAGAATGGAAGTGACGAGGGGTAGGTATAAAAGAGATATTTGCAGAGGCAAGTTCCTGAGATGGAAACCCTGTTAGGAAAAAGAAAAATGGCCCTTTGAAGAAGTGACATTTTTATGATCTCCATAAAGCAGTGACCAAGAAACAACCTCAGAGAATCAAAGAACCATAAAATCGTAGAACAGAATAAAAATGGAGAAATTATATGGTCAATCTCCTGCAGTTTATAGATGAGAAAACTGAGTCCCAGAGAGCTCAACTGACTTCCAAAGGTCACACAGCAAGCTGGTGGGCAGACAGTACAACGGTTAGGACTCAGAGGGTCAGCTCTGCCACATGACTGGCTGGATGATCCCAGGATAACCATGTAACCTCTTTATGAGCCTTCATCTGTTAACATGAGGAAAACTATACACACATACACACACGCAAACATATACACATATAAAGTTATGAATGACAATAAATGTTTGTTGAAGCACTTAGTCCAAGGCCTGACACATACAATAAATGAGAGCTATAATGATAATATTTATTAATAATAATAAGGCAAAGCCTAAAATCCAGACTGCTCCATTTCTCCAAGTGAAGGCTCTCACGATAACATTAACAGCTATCATTCATTAGGTAACTAGGTGCCACACCCAAAGCCATAACCCTGAAAGACAGGCAATTATTATTCCCATTCAACAAATAAAGAAACTACTACTCAGAGATTAATGCCACACAGTTGTAAGTAACAAAGCCAGGGATTCCTTAAGGACTTAGACTCCAAAACTCATGCTCTTCCCCTAGAAACTCTACTGCCTCCATCCTAAAGACTTACAGGACAGGTGGCTGAGGACTGTCTTTGAGCGCTATCCAGTGTCACCATTCTGGCCTCTCCACAAAGCCCTGTACTAAACAGAACCAGCCACTGAAGCGACCACAGGTTCCTGACACAAGCAACTGCAGTCAGGATTCTGCATGTGGCCCCTGGGAAGCCCATCCATCATCTTTATACAACTCTTATTTGATTACTCAATGCTGTTTCTTTCTATGAGCATGGGCACTGATAACTGGAAAAATTAATGCCCAGGTTCAGACCCAGCCCAGGGTATTTGATGCATGGTCATAATATGGGACATGGGATGGCAGAGGCAGTTTCTTGACTTAACCACACAGCTCACATTTTAACATGCAGAGTTTCCTAGGAGTAAGTAAGAAAAGAGCTATCTTCCTTGAGTCCTCCTATGTGCAAGCCCTATGCTAGGTACCGCTTTATACACACAATATCCTCAACCAATTCTGTGAGAAATCAATACCTGCAGTGCACAGGTCAGGAAACTGGGATGCAGAGAGGTTACACCACCTGCCCAAAGCCACACAGTGCTGGGAGAGTCAAGGGAAAAGAGGCCACATACATGTACTCACTTTCAACTGTTTGGTTCCTTTGGCTGTTTTGAGTCCTATGATCACATGGCTAATGGTTTTGCCATATCCTCCCATGGGATTCTCTGTCTCACACGGAGTTAGCTCTGTGACTTCACCTTCATAAACTTCCTTGGTCTCCTTTATTCGCAGCCCTGGAAGAGGTGGCAGAGGGGCCATGGTGAGAAGCAGAATCTTTTCTCTCACACTGAGAGCCCAAAACTTCCATGTCACCAGAACTGCCAAATCAACCTTAATAATGTACATTCCAGGGTGTCATGATGGGTAAAAAGGCAATACAAACATATCAATGTAAATTAGAGGCACTATTAGAAATGCAACTTTTTTTTTTTTTTTTTTTGAGATAGAGTCTCGCTCTGTTGCCCAGGCTGGAGTGCAGTGGCACGATCTCGACTCACTGCAACCTCTGCCTCCCCGGTTCACTCCATTCTCCTGCCTCAGCCTCCAGCCTCCCGAGTAGCTGGGACTACAGGCGCCCGCCACCACGCCCGGCTAATTTTTTTGTATTTTTGGTAGGGACAGGGTTTCACCATGTTAGCCAGGATGGTCTTGATCTCCTGACCTCATGATCTACCCTCCTCGGCCTCCCAAAGTGCTGGGTTATAGGTGTGAGCCACCACACCCGGCCTAGAAATGCAACTTTTTAAGGGAACTTTCTAGGTTCAAATCCAGAACTAGATAGACAAGTTATAATTCTTAAAATTGTCTGCTTCATTTCCAAGGGGGTGAAATTTACCTTTAGCCTTTAATCCAGTCTCTGAACCCACACTATTCTATTCCACCAGAACAGTGGCTATCAAAACTCCTGTAGCCTTGTTTCCTGAATTTCTGACTCTCAAAGGAAATCTTAAAACCAGTGGAATAACTCATTACACACCCTCTGACACTATGAAACCTGAGCAGAACATACTAAAATAATTAGGTATCTATGTCAACAGTGGGTGACACTCAAAACTGCCAGGTGTTATGGGCCTCTGGCTCTCACTGCATACTCCAAGAAGAAATACCCAGTTGTCATGCATTATTTGCAATGTGTTGCTCTACAATTTTCTTTCTTTCTTTCTTTCCCTTTTTCTTTTTTTTTTTTTTTTTTTTTTGAGATAGAATCTCATTCTGTCACCCAGGCTGGAATGCAATGGTGCGAACTTGGCTCACAGCAAGCTCCGCCTCCCAGGTTCAAGTGATTCTCCTGCCTCAGCCTCCCAAGTAGCTGGGATTACAGGCGTGCACCACCACATCTGGCTAATTTTTGGGGTTTTTTTGTACTTTTAGTAGAGATAGGTTTCACCATGTTGGCCAGACTGGTCTTGAACTCCTGACCTCAGGTGATCCACCCACCTTGGCCTCCCAAAGTGCTGGGATTACAGGTGTGAGCTACCATTCCCAGCTGCTCTACAGTTTTTCTAAGGCCATAACAACAAAACCAATTTCCAAAGCACCTTACATTAGAATATTGCAAATAAAGGTAAATTTCTCTCTGAATTCTAAACATCATCCACATTAGCTCTTTAATAAACGTTTGTTCATTATCCAAGAATCATTGTTAAATTAACTTTTAGAACGTGATCTCTATGTTCATTACATGCTTTTGCATATAACGGTTCTGCTTCCTGAACCACTCTTTTTAGCTTAGGCAACTCCTCCTAGCAGACTCAGTTTAAAACGTATCCCCCCCCCCTTCACACATTCTTCTTCCTCATCCTCCAAATTGTCCCCATGGTGACCTGTGTTTCCACTGGCACAGCAGCAGCCCACGGCAATGCCATAACTTGCAGACCTTGCCTACCCCTCTGCAGATTGCCCACACCTGAGCTGAGGGCACAGCACATAGGCAGGTAGAGTGAATGGATGAATGAATGAAGTCACTAAGAGTGAAGGGGTTGTCATTAGGCACATCATCTACTAATAATACCCAAGAAACGAACCTGCAGATACATTTACATGTTCTATATGGTAATGGCCTGAGAACTCTAAGGAGTCAGCCATGTAATGTTATAGCCTGTATCACCGAAACACCCTCAACCTCAGCACTAAAAGCCAGGCATAACTGAACTGTACTGTTAGAAATCAAGACTACCATTAACTTGGGGAAGGAAGGATGGCAACTGGGAGTGGACATCAAGGGTACCTTGGAGTTCTGGCAACATTCCCTTTTTTGATTAGCTGCTGGTTTCACGGGTTTTTACTTTACAATAATCCACCAAGCTATGCATTTATGTTCTGCACACTTTTCTGTACATATGCATAAAATTACCAAGTCTACTTTAAAAAAAAATTTTAAGTAAATAATACCAGTGGGACCCGGTGAAGTAAGACCACTGATGGCCTAAGTTTACGAAATACTGCTCTAAATCTCCGCTGGAGCCTATGGTCATGGTTCTCAACCTTTAGGTCCACCTGAGGGGCCCCTATAATGAATCACGCCCTGGCTGTACCCAGACTACTTGCTTCCAAATCCTAGGGGATGGGCCCCTGCCATCACTATTAGTTTAATATTCCCCCCATGATTCCAAAGTGCAGACACAGTTGAGATCCAGTTATCTAAAGAATAAATGAAAAACTATTCAACTCACAAATGTGGAGACATAAACTAGTTCTGATGGCAGGGTGGCTTGATAAGGATTTGGTGTTCTCACCATTAAGCTACCTCCGTTCTGATATGGAAATATTCCAATGGCACTAAGAAACACTACCTATAGTGTCAGGTACGCTCTGTAACTTCTCACTTTTAAATGTGGTCATTATCTTATCATTGGGCTGTTTGCCTTCTCTACCCCAGAAACCCAGTCAGGACAAAGACTCTCAGATATTAAAGTTAAGGAAAAGTTTTACTCTACCTTCATTCTATCTGATAGCCTATAAATGGAAGTTTTGGAATAGCCCCAAAAGAGAGGACCCATTTCATTTGTGCTTTACCAAATTCTTAGTTCCTGAACATTAATCTTAGACAAAAATTCTCCAAACAACACGAATATATCAGAACACTGTGGTAAACTGGGAAAATCCTGTACTTTTAAAGTGAACTTTGATTTTTTAAAATCAAACCTTTTATATCCCACAGCGATAAATTCCTTCAAATGGAATGCTTACTTATATTTACTGCTAGATGAATGTGGCATGAAATTCCTCAAGGAGGGGAAGAAAGACATTCCCGTCTCTCACTAGCCCCCACATTTGTTTAGAAGTTGCTCTGTGCTGACAAGCTGGCAGGGGACGTGGGTGACGGACAATGAAACCGGCTGTTAGCCAGGAAAGGGGCTGAGCTGGCGCTATCTCTGGCAACGACAACACAAATGACACAGGTTTCATCTGCTGGCTCAGGTTTCTATATCCCTGACAGGGACCTTCATCACATCAAGGAAATAGCACAGACTCCCTGCTTTTTATTTCTGGTCGGCTTATTGCTTCCTCCCCACCCCCTCTCCCAACTTCACAGAATTCAAAGGCAGAGGAAGATGGGCAGGGTTCCTTTTTGAAGATAGTCAATGGCCTGCCTTTTTATTCTCTGGTAGGATCAAGAAATTTTCTTTTCACCTCGCTGCCATCAAAAGAATGGTACTACTGTCCCCTCCCCTCAAAAATGGCAAATTACAAAACAGATGCCAAGGAACTTATCTCTATTTTTCTGAATTTTAAAGCATTCAAGTTACCTTTAAGCAATGCAAACACATACATCCATGTGAAAGCCAGTTTTCACAGATTTTATCAATATCAGAAAAACATTTTTTAAGTAAATAGAACATTTAAAAAAAATACTCAGGGACCAGACACGGTGGTTCACGCCTGTAATCCCAGGACTTTGGCAGGCCAAGGTAGGTAGATCATTTCAGCCCAGGAAACAGATTGCAGTGAGCCAAGATCATGCCACGTACTCCAGCATGGGCGACAGTGTGACACCTTGTCTCAATTAAAAAAAAAAAAAGTACTCAGACATTTGAACTAGTTGTAACATCTTACTGTTCATCTCATCTTTATTATGAGTTAAATAAAACCATGGGCACATGTTTAAAAAAAAAATACTCAGAAGATTTTAAACCTTAAAGGAGTCCTGCGAGTCATTTCCACTGCTATTCCAAATACAACGTAAAAATCCACAAAGTACACTGCATGTAATCACATGGGCTGAACCTTACAGATATAGACGCTGAGCTAAAGAAGCAAGACACAAGGAACACATAAAGTATGATTTAGATAAACTTTAAAAAGGGCAAAATTAAGCCCCATGGTTTAAAGATACACACATGGGGTGTACAAGGTTATGATGATCACATAAACCATTCCCACACAATTATGGCACATTGTGGGTCCCACCTAGGAGAGGAAGGGGTTGTGACCAGGGAGGGACACATGTCTGAGGTGCTGGCCGTGCTCTGTTCCTTCGGTGGTGACGGTATAAGCCTTTACTTCATAATTAATTAATGTTTTACATCCTTCTCTATAAGTTTGTAATACCTCTGTTTAAAACTGGCACTGGGATGGGTGTAGTGGCTCACTCCTATAATCTCAGCACTCTGTGGGGCCAAGGCAAAAGGATTACTTGAGGCCAGGAGTTCGAGACCACCTGGGCAACATAGTGAGACCCCATCTCTACAAAAACAATTTTTTTTTTGAGATGGTGTCTCACTCTGTAGCCCAAGCTGGAATGCAGTGGCGCAATGTCACCTCACTACAACCACCAACTCCTGGGCTCAAGCGATTCTCATGTCTCAGCCTCCCGATTTTGTTTTTGAGACAGGGTCTCACTGTTGCCTGTGTTGAAGTGCAGTGGTGTGATTTCAGCTCACTGCAGCCTCGACTTACTCAGGTGATCCTCCCACCCCAGCCTTCCGAGTAGCTGGGACTACAGGCACACGTCACCACACCCAGCTAATTTTTGTATTTTTTGTAGAGACACAGTTTCACCATGTTCCCCAGGCTGGTCTCGAACTCCTGGGCTCAAACAATCTGCCTGCCTTTGCCTCCTAAAGTGCTGAGATTACAGGCACCACCATGAGCCATCAGGCCTGGCCTCTCTGTAAATTTTTTTTTTTTTTTTTTTTTTTTTTGAGACAGAGTCTCTCTGTTACCCAGGCTGAAGTGCAATGGCATAATCGCCACTCACTGTAACCTCCACCTCCCGGGTTCAAGCAATTCTCCTGCCTCAGCCTCCCAAGTAGCTGGGATTACAGGCGTATGCCACCATGCCCCGCTAATTTTTTGTATTTTTAGTAGAGACGGGGTTTCACCATGTTGGCCAGCCTGGTCTCGAACTCCTGACCTCAGGTGATCCACCGGCCTCGGCCTCCCAAAGTGCTGGGATTACAGGCATGAGCCACCGCACTCGGCCTACATACAGTTTTTAAAAAATTAGCTGGGTGTGGTGATGCACACCTGCAGTCCTAGCTACTTGGGAGGCTGGGGCAGGAGGATCTCTTGAGCCCAAGGAGTTGAGCCTGCAGCGAGCTATTGTTACACCACTGCACTTTAGCCTGGACAACAGAGTAAGACCCTGTCTCTAAAAAAAATTTAAAAAGAGAAAAATGTTTTAAAAATAGATAACTTAAATAAAATAGGCACCAAACCCAGGCATGATGGTGTGCACCTATAGCCCCAGCTACTTGGGAGGCTGAGGTGGAAGAATCACTTGAGCCCAGGAGTTAAAGGCCAGCCTGGGCAACAGAGTGAGACCATGGCACTAAAACAAAATAAAATAATTAAAATAAGCACCAAAAAATCCAATATTTCATGGTAAAAATAATATATTTCCAGTCAGAAATACTTTGCAGTTTTAAAAATATTCAAATCGTGGCACTGAGGAAGTGTTAAAATTATAAAATAAAAATAAATATATTCCAAGTAACACAAAATTTAGCCTCTGGACACAGTTCATAATCTCTCTGGTTTAGAAAAACAGTCACAAACTTCAATGCTTATGGGGACCTGGTCAGAAGTACCCGCTCAGCTCCGCCTGCTGTGGGAAGGAAAGCTGCTTCAAGGAGGCAGAAATGAGCACTTTATGACACTTCCCTATTGCTAAATATTGACAACTAGCTCCAAATTTATAAAAAATACTTCATAAACCAAACAACATATGTCTATAGCCCAGACATATTTTTTAGCTAAAGACTTCTGTTTTCATATTTTTTAGCTAAAGACTTCTGGGATTACAGGCATGAGCCAGGCACGGTGGCTCATGCCTGTAACCCCAGCACTCTGGGAGGCCGAGGCAGGTGAATCATGAGGTCAGGAAATCAAGACCATCCTGGCCAACATGGTGAAACCCCATCTCTACTAAAAATACAAAAATTAGCTGGGTGTGGTGATGCATGCCTGTAATTCCAGCTATTCAGGAGGCTGAGGCACGAGAATCGCTTGAACCCAGGAGGCTGAGGTTGCAGTGAGCTGAGATCACGCCACTGCACTCCAGCCTGGCGACAGAGACTCTCTCTCAAAAAAAAAAAAAAAAAGGCTTCTGTTTTCTAACTGCTTCAAAGTCTACCCACTTCTCTCACTCACTCAGAAGAACTTTCCTGAGCACCCACTATGTGCCAGGAACTGTGTCTACAAAGATAAGCACTGACCACTGTATCCCCAGGAGACGCTGAGTAAACACCCAACCTGCTCCCTCCCATTCTTCCCCATCTCCAAAAATGGCCAAACCTGGGAATTTTCCTCGACTCCTCTCTTTCTTTCAGCCCCACATCTAACCCTTTAGGAAATCCTGTCAGCGCTACCATGCAAACACACCCAGAATCCAACCACTTTGCACTTCCACTGCCACCACCCTGGTCCAAGCCACTATTTTGTCCTGCTCAGACTCCTCTCTGCCCTCACCCTCCTTACTATCCACTCCCAACCCAGCCGGAGGGGTCTGGTAAAAGCAAAACCAGAGCCCAGGGATACCAGCACTTTCTAACTGCTTCTCCTTTTGTTCAATGTAAAATCAAAAGCTTTAACCATGGCCCTACCTGATCTTACTCCGAAACTGAACTTTTTCATCAGTCTTTTAAGTTTCATCATTTCCTTGAAGTTTTCTGGTAAATTTCCTTCTTAAGAATACTTACTTTGGTTTGACAATGAAAGAGCCTGGAAACTGGTACAGGCACTCTGACTAGTGTTCATAACCCACGACTCAGCAGGCAAATCCTAGAAACATACTCGCACATGTGCACAAAGACACATAAAAGGATATTCCTAGTAGCCTTGTTTTTAAGAGTAAAAGCTGAGAATAAATCTAAATGTTCAAAAAACAGAAATGGCTTAATAACTGGACTTTTATGTAACAGTTAAAAGAAATAAGCTATTTCTATAAGCAGATCTGAGGGAAACTAGGACTTGCCCAGTGCTGTGCCAGCAGAAATGGGGCCAAAAAACTGCCCCAGAAGTCCTAGCTAGCAAAAAGCAAAAATTCGAAAGAGAAGCCATTTTCTTCTCACAGCCAATCTTCACAGCAACGGCTCTAGAAATGAGAAAGATGTCGGATCAAACTACTTCTGCCACTTACTAACTGGGTCCCTAGCAAGTTATTTAACCTTCTGAGACTGCTTCTTCAAATGCGAAATGTAGATTGATAATCTCCCCTCAGAGGAGGGAAGGCCTGGCTCATCACAGGCACTCACTATGATAGCCTGAGGCCCTAAGGGTTAGGCGCCATAAGCCTCTAAGCTCTGCCAGTCCCCACTCCTCAGTCTCCTCACTCTATGACAGGCCACAACTCTTCTGGCTCGCCATCCAGGACCAGGGGCATTCTGGCCACATGGCACACAAAGATTCTGGCTTGAGTCCAAAACCTTTTCAGTGGATAGTCATCTCTAATGGCAAAATAAGACTTCCAGGAAAATATGACTCATTAAAAAAACACTTTTAGACACATCTATTTATTGCATGAAGAAGCGCAGGCTCACAGCTAGGGTCCATAGTTGCTCCAATTGCTAACGCACTTCAATGAGAAAAACTGGGGTTTTGTTTTATTTGAAAAATAATGCACTACTAAGTGCCAAAAGAAAAACAGCAGTGCCACGAATACCAGTCATAAAGGCATCTTCACCACAAAGAGGCTTCGGTGCACAGGCTTCAGGAAGTGAGACCAACTCCTCCCACAAATGTGACACTACTTACCAATGGCCCTGCGGAAGTTCTCCATCAGCACCTCTGTCTTCTTGATCTCAGTTGAGTAAACTTCACTCCCCACCATTGGGCAGAAGGGGACCTTACTACCCAGCTCCTGAGCAATAGCCAGAGCCAGAGCTGTCTACAAAAGAAAGCAACGGAAACACAGTTCACAGTCCTGAAAACATGACAGTTCAGAAACACATGCTACAGAACCACCAGGAACTAGGAACAGCTGAACATCTAGTCCTACCATTTAGCATGTTTCACACAATAAATGTTTGATGACTTTTGTGGACAGTCAATTTAAATCATAAATGGCATCTCTTATCTTCCCTATAATTACAAGTTATCATTCACTCAGACTTACCCAGTGCAGGCCCAACTCCAAATGCCTCACATGATCCTCACAACCAGCCTATGAAATAGACACTAGTATTCTCCCCATTTTACACATGAGAAACTGAGAGACATTAAGTAATGCAACGTAAGTACCATAATCTAGAAAATGGCAGCGCAGATTTAATCTCTGGCAGCAGGACTCCAAAGATCATGTTATCATAATTAGAAGAGTCTACTCTTCAGTATCCACAGGGATACCAAAATCCATGGATGTTCAAGTCCTGGTATAAAATGGCAGGGTATTTGCATATAACCTATGCACATCCTCCTGTTACTTTAAATCATCTCTAGATTACATACAATACCTAATATAAATGCTATGTAAATAGTTATTATATTGTATTTTTAAGTATGTATTATTTTTGTTATTGTATTTTTATTTTTTATTGTTTTTTTCCTGAGTATTTTTGATTTGTGGTTGGCAGAATCCACATACGTGGAACCCACAGATAGGAAGGGCCAACTTTACAGTCATCCAAAATTGTTCTCTCAATATCAATATATGGCTCTGACCTAATTGCTCCGAATACACCACTGGATCTTTGAGATACCTGCTTTCTCTTTTTACAAATACAGGAAAACACCAATCTACAACCCATCAGAAATAATGAAGGAATGAATGAATGGATTGTTCATTTTATGTTATGTAGCCCACAAAGAGTGAAGAAGGATACCTCAAGTAGGATTTTGAAGCTATGAGTTGGTCTTAACAAGTTACACTTAAACACGCCCTGTGGTAAACTACAAATTGATTTTTGACAAGATAATTACAGCTGGCAAATGCTAAACAGAACCAGACTTCACAGGTGTACGGTCAAATGTCAAGTATGGCAAGCAAATGCTTTAAAGTTGGTACAGAACTGGGCAATGCCATGGCCTCTAAATGCCATTTTCATCTTTCCTCAACTCTGAAACAGGAGCACGAGTAAGGCCAGCTCCCCAGGTATATGGGCTAAGACTGAAAACAAGCTTGTTACTGAAGAACAAAGTGAAACTGAGACGGTGTCTTAAAATTAACAGTCAAGGTTCCTCTCAGATTTTCTTTTCTATGCCCTTTTGGTGATAGTTTTGAGGTAGTAAAATCTGGTAGAGAATCAGTGTATAGCACAGTATAAAATGCACTAGCCAGGAACAGAAAGATTAGTGCTGGTTCTGCCACTAATTTTCAGTGTGACCTTGGGCACTCAGCAAATCTCAGGTGCCCGATTTCCTCATCTGTCAAATGAAAGTACTAAAGTGCCATGCTAGATCACAAGTGGCAAACTCGTTGCTCACAGCCTGGTTCTGTTTGGCCTGCAGTCTCATGGTGACCTTCAGCAAGGCCGAGCACCTGGGGCTCAAGGCAGACACGCCACAGTGCACCCAGCCACTTCCCTCATCCCCGTTGCCTGCCTCATTAGGCATCTGCACTTGTGAGCTCAAGGCTGACACCTTGAAAACTGGTATTCTTCTAAGAGCAAAGGAAAAAAATCTCTGGAACATGAAAGGGCACAATGAGAGGAGCAGCACTCTAACAGCAGACTCCCCGTGGGGCCACAGGCTGGACAGGACCACCCCTTCCCAGTTACTCCTTTCTCTTCCTTGTATCTCTGCCAGCCCCAATTCCCTACCCTCAGTTTTGAACTTCAAAGACAGTGACCACATCCAATTCAATGGCACTCTCCCTCCCTTTAACTAATACAGAAGAGATGAACATACTTCCATTAAAATATGATAAATACTTGGTTAAAAAAAAAAAGCTTCATGTGTGTCTCGTTTCCTCCATTTAAAGACTTCCAGAGGGAAAGTATATGATATGGCTACTATTCCTACACCTACTACAGAGTGCTGCATAGACCTCATCGAATCTCCCCAACTAGCCTATGACCTTGATCATCTAGTTTGTATTTTATAGATTAAGAAACAAACTCAAAAGTTACCAACACACCCAAGGTAAAACCGCAAGCAGCAGCACCAGGATGCAAACCCCAATCTCCAAAGCCATTTTTTTTTGTACTCACCCCATGTGAGTGACAAGTGGCACAAAAAAGAGGTTGTTGCCAAAAGAAGGTTGAAGAAATCTCTATTTTTCAATCTCATCTGAATATCTCCTTCTTCTAAAACCCAAACCCATTATTAACAGTGTGAGGTCCTCAAGAGTGGAAATGCATATGAACCATGCATTTGCATCTCTAAAATAAGCAGTATTTCTGCCTGTCACCCAGGTAAGTTGCCTAAACTTTGGGACCCTGCAGCAAACCATTAAGCAGAAGTCACCAAATTCCTTCATACACATTGGAAGGGAGTGGACAAACTTATAAGGTAATACCACAGTGCTGAGCACTTCTCATATTTCCTGGGAGGAAAGCAATACAATATCACCAAAAAAAATGAAAGACATATGCTTCTAGCAATATGGCACACTGGGTCCACTGAAAACCTCTCCTCTTACAAAACACCTAGAATTGAATAAATAATAACATTCAGAGCAGTAAACTATTTGCCTTGAAAGTTCAGAGACTGTAGATACAGGAAAGCTCAGCAAGGTATAGCACTTAAGATAGAAACCCCTGAATAAAACCGGGACTGGGCACGGTGGCTCAAGCCTGCAATCCCAGCACTTTGGGAGGCCGAGGCAGGTGGATTGCTTGAGCCCAGGAGTTCAAGACCAGCCTGGGCAAAATGGCGATACCCCATCTCTACGAAAACTACAAAAATTAGCCAAAGCGTGGTGGTGTGCACCTGTAGTCCCAGCTACTCAGGAGGCTGAGGTGGGAGGACCACCTGAACCCAAGAGGTAGAGACTGCAGTGAGCCGAGATCACTGCACTCCAGCCTGGGTAACAGACCACTGCACTCCAGCCTGGGCGACAGACTGAAACTGTCTCAAAAAACAAACAAACAAACAAAAACATTACAATTAAAAAAAAAACATAAAAGAGGACTCTTGAAGGGCCACACATGAGTAAAAAAGGTGGGCCATAACAAAATACATCTGGGGGCCAGGCACAGTGGCTCACGCCTGTAATCCCAGCACTTTGGGAAGCCAAGGCAGGTGGATCACCTAAAGTCAGGAGTTCGAGACCAGCCTGACCAACATGATGAAACCCCATCTCCACTAAAA
The DNA here is from genome assembly GCF_000001405.40 of Homo sapiens. Classification (NCBI taxonomy): domain Eukaryota; kingdom Metazoa; phylum Chordata; class Mammalia; order Primates; family Hominidae; genus Homo; species Homo sapiens. Next base: position 128,116,383 of record NC_000003.12, read on the forward strand.
ATACAAAAATTAGCCAGGCACCTGTAATCCCAGCTACCCAGGAGGCTGAGGCAGGAGAATCGTTTGAACCTGGGAGGCAGAGATTGCAGTGAGCCAAGATCACGCCACTGTACTCCACCCTGGGCAAGAGAGCGAGACTTCATCTCAAAAAAAAAAAAAAAAGACATTATAACTTGTAACAATTTATGCAGTGTGTAATCTTTGATTGCATTTTGATATTCTGGTGTTTTTTAAAAAGCCAAAAACTGAAACAACTTGGAAAGATGTTTTCTGATTTCTATCACCTATATTTTCTTTTCATTAAAACAATTTAACTTCGTTGTCTTTGAAAGCACATTTGTTAACTGCTCATGGAATCATATGATGAGCTGCCAGGCTCCCTCATCTTTGTGATTTCTCTACCACAGTGGATATGGTTACCTACTCCTTTCTTTAAAGGTTCTCCTTTCTTGGTTCCTGAGACACCATTCTCTCCCTGGCTCTGCTGCTCATTTTTTAAAAATTAATTAATTTAATTTTTAATTGACAAAAATTGGGGGAATATAATAGCATTAGCAAGGTGGGTCTGATGATGGCACCGTGGTCATGTAGGAAGACATCCTTACAACTTACTGTCAAGTGGTTCAGAAATAAACTAGAGAAAAAGCAAATGTCACAAAATATTTATAACTGGCTATCTAGGTATAGGGTATAGAGGGGCTCATCACACTATTCTTTCAAGTTTTTTGTAGGTTCCAAACTTTTCAAAATGAAAAGGAAAAAAATATTCAATAGATTGGATTAATCAGTCACTTAATCATAGCTTAAGAGACAATTAGACTGGAACAAAGATCTAAAAGAAATTACCCATAATTTAGCAGAGTCAAAAAGATAACAAATATGAGAGGCTAAAAGACAAAGAGGACAAAACGAGAAGCTCTAGCCCAGGGTTTCTCAGCTTGACTCCATGACGTTTGTGGCCAGATAATTCCTTATTATGGAAACTGCTCTGTGCACTACAGGATGTTTAGTAGCATCCCTGGCCTCCACCCACTAGATGCCAGTAGCACCCCCAACCAAGTCGTGAGAACCAAAAATGTCTCCAGACGTTGTCAAAGTCCCCTGCAAGGGCAAAACTGCCCCAGGTTGAAAACCACTGCAATCTTAACCTCATCTCAGTGGAGTTCCAGAAGGAAAGAACAAAGAGAATGGGGAAAGGCAATAGCTGAAGAGATTAACGCTGACAGTTTTTTTGTTTTTTTTTTTTTTGAGACGTAGTCTTGCTCTGTCACCCAGGCTAGAGTGCAATGGCATGATCTTGGCTCACTGATACCTCTGCCTCCCAGGTTCAAGCGATTCTCCTAAGGCTGACAATTTTCCAGAATTGAGCAGAGACATAATACTCAGATTCAAGAAGCACAATTAGCATTAAGCATGATAAACAAAAATTAATCCACTCTGACATATAATAGTGAAACACCAAACCCAAAAATATCTCAAAAACATGCAGAAAGAAGACTCAAAACCCTCAAAATTAGACTTCTCAAAAACAACAGAAGCCAAAGGAGCAAATAACATTGAGAGAGAAGTACTGTGAAACAGTACTGAAGAAAATATCTGTCAACTGAATTATATAGCCAACATAGCTCTTTTTCAAAACAAGGGCAACATAATGAATGCAAACGTGAGAGACTTTCCCACCAACAAACTTCTAGAAGAAATTTCTAAATTATTTACTTTAGGAAGAAGAAAAATGGAGGGAAAGAGAAGGTCTAAGATATAAGGAATAGCAAGCAAATAAATGGTAAATGCACTGGACAAGCTAATGTTGCCTGGAGAGAGGTAACTGAAGCTCACATCTGTATGGCACTTTACAGTTTAAAAAACTGTTCACAATTTGCTTTTATATAGGAAGAGAAAAAACTGTTCACAAATATAGCACTTCTTCCTCTTGTAAGATACCAATATAAGATACACAATCAGTAATCATTTCAAAATTATAATGCAAGTCATTATCTTACAATCGATCAGTTTAATAATTGCTTGAAATAGGTAGAGTATGCTTTTGCTTAGAAAAGTTAAGGGACCTGCCTCAGGTCTCATAGCAAGTCAATACTAGAGCTGGAATTTAAAGCCCATTTCTTTTCACACACAACCCCAAGCTCCTACTTGCCCACATCAAGCGGCCCTTTTGAAGAATAAGCAAGCTCAAATTGGGAACTCTGGTGAGTTTCAAGTATCTGGCCAGTCCCCTCACGAATCCCAAGAAGCCACACGGTGTCCTCTGCCTGAAAGGCCCTTATCTTCCCTGCAAAGCCAAATCCTCTCCCAGCTCTGAAGGGAAAATGTCAAGTCTCAACCCTTCCAGCTGTACCAGCCCACAGTGCTGCCTCCTTAAATTCCAGCTGCATTTAATATTAGTCAATACCTCAAAGCTGAGCACTCATACTGAGTCCTCCTGTGCTGTCATGATTTCCTTTCTTTCTGCCCTGGAGAGACTGTAAGCCCCTTGAAGATAAAAATCATGTCTCTAATTCTTGTTTTCCTTTTTTTCATCTCCCACACAGCCACAATAGCGATGCGTAAAGCTAGCATTTGGAAGAATGCTTGACTCATTTTTTTGTCCCCTCAAGTAAGATGTCACTCAGAAGATCTTTATGAAGCCCTAGGCCAACAGAAATGTATTTCCACAGCAAAGGAGACTTGAAAGAGAAAAAGGACAAATTCTAGAGACAATGAGACCCCTTCAAGGACTTCATTCTTTCTTCTCTGGAGGTAGGCCAGGATAATTTGAATTTTAGAAGCAGGGATTTTAGATACCCAATTGTATTATTGCATATTAATTTTAAAAACATACATATAACCCATTTAGCTAAACAAAGACTAGTTAAGACATGAATTCAATTTGGCTTAGACACTAGGATCATTCTCCTGGGTAGATTTAAAAAATGAGAGAAAATGAGTACCTTGCCAGTTCCAGGAGGTCCTGCCAACAAGACAGCTCTTCCAGCCATTTTCTTGCTTTTGATTAATTCTACTATGACGCCACATGCCTACACACCACAATGGAAAGAAATAATAAATCAATATTAAAATGTTTCACAAGGGGAAAAATCTCAGTCCCTGGCCTACACAAGTCACACACTCATCCAACTAACACTGAGTGCCAGTGCACTGCAGTCACTGTTCTAGGTGCCGAGGGTAACGAAGGCAAGGCAGAAAAGCCTTGTACTTGTGGAGCTCATGTTTTAGGGAGGGATACAAACATACAAACATTGCACACATAATCTTCATCACTACTATGAAGAAAAAGGGATGATGAGAGAGAACGAGTGGCTAGAAAGTGATCCTGGAGTGTCTTTCTGATGACATTTAATTTGATATGTGAACCTCTGGGAGGAGCAGGAGTCAGCGTTCCAGGCAAAGAAAACAGCGAATTCAGAAAATCCAAAGCAGAAACAAGCTTGGCATATCCAAGGGACAGAAAGGTTGCAGTGACCAAAGTATAGCGAAAAAGACCAGGAAGATGAGGTTGAAGAGGTAGACAGCGGCCAGAACGCAGAACAGGAACTTACAGTGTGTGGTAAAGTTTGGATTTTATTCTACATAAATAATACAAAGCCACTGAAAAGGTCTTGAAGACTATGTGTCATGCTATGATTTGTTTTTAAAAGATGGTGCTAGCTACTACTGTGTGAAGAATGCACAGTATGAGTACAAGTGGGAACACTGATTTTTGGCCCAGGGTACAGGGATAGACGCCAGGGGCCCAAATACCTCTTGAAGTTGGGAACGAAACTGTGTTTATGTTCATATATACATTTTTTCCAGAGAAAGGATCCATAGCTTTCATCAAATTCCCAGAGTAACCTATTAAGGGGTAAGAATCAATGACATAGAGTACTAGCTGGCCATCAGTGAACACTGTAAATACTGAATGTGAAGTTAAACCTATGGCACTATTAGATCCATTGAATATGTTTTGAATCCTCAAGGTTAAATTACTTTATCATCTGTTAGTATATTTTAAATACATTATAAATCTCTGAATTTTATTAACCATTTGCAGTACACATGTGTGTATATATACACACACATATTCCATAAATGGGCTATGGAACTTCATATATTTTAGAATATTTGACTATAAGGGGGGAACACTGAGAAAGTTACACTAGCTGAGCATCTATATCTCAGGATTACATAATATAAGGTTTGCTACACTGATTTAATAACTGAATACGTGACTATCTAAAAGGTGCTCTTCTCTCTGGGCAGTGACCACACTGTGCCAGAGTCTTGTGAATACATCTTATCTCTTCTACCTCTATTCCTCATGGACTGTGAAGTACCTTGGTCCCACACTTATGGCAGCCCCTCAAAAAATATGTAAGGACTACAGGCGCCTGCCACCATGCCTAGCTAATTTCTTGTATTTTTAGTAGAGAAGGGGTTTCACCATGTTAGCCGGGATGGTCTCAATCTCCCGACCATGTAATCCACCTGCTACTCGGGAGGCTGAGGCAGAAGAATGGCGTGAACCCAGGAGGCGGAGCTTGCAGTGAACCGAGATGGCGCCACTGCACTCCAGCCTGGGCGACAGAGCGAGACTCCCTCTCAAAAAAAAAAAAAATGATGTAAGCAATGTGTGTGGGTATGCTATATCCATCCCATTTCCACTTCAGTTACCAAAGCACACTGCCCTTAATAGAACCTAGAAGATATTCTTCAGATGCTACTTTTCTTTTCTCTTTCAGATGGAGTCTCGCTGTCACCCGGGCTGGAGCGCAATGGCGCGATCTCAGCTCACTGCAACCTCCACCTCCCAGGTTCAAGTGATTCTCCTGCCTCAGCCTCACGAATAACTGAGACTACAGGCGCATACCACCACACCCGGCTAATTTTTGTATTTTTAGTAGAGACAGGGTTTCGTCATGTTGGCCAGGCTGGTCTCAAACTCCTGACCTCAGGTGATCCACTTGCCTTGGCCTCCCAAAGTGCTGGGATTACAGGTGTGAGCCACTACGCCCGGCCCAGATGCTATATTTCTAAATAGATAAAAAACCTAGCCAGGCGCGTTGGCTCATGCCTGTAATCCCAGCACTTCGGGAGGCCGAGGCAGGTGATCACCTGAGGTCAGGAGTTCAAGACCAGCCTGGTCAACATGGTGAAACCCTGTCTCTACTAAATATACAAAAATTAGCCGAGCGTGGTGGTAGGCGCCTGTAATCCCAGCTACTCACGAGGCTGAGGCAGGAGAATCGCTTGAACCCAGGAGGCAGAGGTTGCAGTGAGCCGAGATCGCGCCATTGCACTCCAGCCTGGGCAACAAGAGCAAAACTTCGTCTCAAAAAAAAAAAAAAAAAAAAAAAACTACTATGGTCTTTCCACACAACCCTGTCATATCATAATCCCCAGCACTGAAGCTCTTTGGGAAACCCAAGGTAGAAGAGACTTTACAAACCTTGGAGATGTGCGTTTATTTACAGACCAGGACCTCTTCCATCCATTCTCCCTCAATTTCCACTCCAACTACTCTCAGGTGAGATAAGCTTGAATTCTAACATTTAAAAAGAATTGGAAGGGTCTTTAAAAGATCACCTAGTCTAACTCTCATTTTTCAGGGAGGTTACTGATGTGACCAGAGTCACACAAGAACCTGGTAGCTGAGGTGGGTCTTAGGCATACAGCATCACTCTTAGGCATAGAGCATGCACTTAGGCATAGAGCATGCACTCTGGGTTTAAATACATAGACTTGAGTTAAAATACTGGCTCTCGCACTTACCAGATGAGTAACCTTGGACCTACTTATTTGACCTCTATGAACCAGAATTTCCTCACTTGAACAGAGTTCATACTAGTCAATGGCACACAGGTTAAAGGGTGTAGGGGTAAAGTGTAGTGATGCCTGCAATTCACCTTGAAATGTAAAAGTGGATTGGGAGAGGGACAGATGAAAAGATATATGATAAAGCAGCACAGTAAAATGTTAATTATAGAATTTAGGCACACAAGTATTTACAAGTCTTTCAACTTTTTTTGTGTCTGAAAACTGTCATACTAAAGCGGGGAAGGGACAACTAATACGTTGGATATGACAAGGCAGTGGACATATAGCTACTTAGCACAGTGCTTGGCACATGGAAAGCACTCAACCAATGTTAGCTACTTGCAGTACTAGCTGCTTAGTAAGCCAGGGTCAAACACTTCCTTTTTGGAAAGATGATGCTCAAAATGGAAACCTGAGGCTTTTCTTTGAGGCCTTTCCATTTAGAAAAATCAGGCTAAGAGGCAGTAGCTTAACTTTATATTAAGTGAAGATTTTTGTAGAAGCTAAGGCTCTCCAAAGGCCAAGGGGCATGGCTGTGACCTTAGAGAACAGCAGGCAGAGAGGGTGGCTGTATCATCATAGAGCACTGATTTGGGAGTCAGAAATACACGTGGGTGCAAACCCCAGGTTTACCGTTACTAAAACGAGTGTCAAGCATATACGTGAAGTGCCCTCTCCCCAACTCAATATTTTCACCTGCCAAAAAATAATATGTATGTGAAAGTACTTGGCATCACCAGCACTTAGAAAAAGGAGATTTAATTGGAATGGTCAAAAAGGATGCTTGGAGGGGTGGATAAACCAGATTGCTCTTCTCCATAATTCCCACTTCTCTCCCTCAGTTCCCGGATCCTGGGAACCAAAATGAGCTTTTAAAGTTTAGTCAATTCCCTACTTTAAACCGTCCCATAGCCTGCCACTGCATTCACAATAAAATCCAATTTCCTGACCGTGGCCGACAAAGCCCTGCAGTAACTAACCCCACCAAGATAAGATAATTATTTTTATTTATTGGTGTACACGTTTATCGTCTCTCACTACACTAAAATGTAAGCTCCTATCTTAATTCCCGCTGTATCCCAGTGTCGCGAATAGAGCCTGGTACGAATTAAGGGGACGGGGTTGTGTGGGTTTATATCAGCACTTGTCCATGAGTTGGCAAACCGTCAACTGCCCCCAGTGGATCGTCACTAGGTATCCTGGGGCGGCCCCTCACCCAGCTCCAGGGCGGCGCCCCTCCCCGAGCCCCTGGCCCATTTTCACTTCCCTGAGGAAATAATGGCGGGAGACCCCTGGCGCGCGCATCCCGCCCCGAGCCACCGACTTCAGCAGCTCTCTCGCCGCAGCAGCCCTGCTTGCAGCCCCCAACTCCCTGGTCCACTGGCCACACCTCTCGCGCGTTCTCCTGGCCCACAAGCCCTGAGGCCGCCTGCTTGGCCAAGCCGCTCTCGTCCAGCCCCAGCCCTTTCACGTGGCTGTGGGAGGCGATGCGCTGCGTCTTCGTAGTGCTCTTCACCTCCTCAATCTTCATTTTGCAGACGCCGGGAGCTAAAACCAGCGTGGAAAACCAGCAGCTAGGACAGTGCGCCCGGCGCCTGAGTTACCATGCGGCCGTTACTAGGGCAATTTGCAAAGGCCCGCCTAGACCGGCTTTCCATTGGTGGAAGCGGGAACACCTCCGCTCTCCATAGGCTCACGGCTGCGCCCATCGCGGCTGCTGCTAGAGCTCCGGTCACCCACTTCCGTCTGTGTCTCCGGGTTGGCTTCCCCCGTAGCCGGCGCTTCCTGCCGAGGCTGGGGTCGGGAGCACAGTGGGACCACGCCCCGGATTTGATCTAGGGCTGGGGCGTTGCACGAGGCAGTGGCCCCCGGGTACCACTCCTAATCCTTCCGTCCTATCCATTAGCACATTTGAACGTCATACTCTTACGCAAATCTCAAGTTATTATTTCCGTTTTGGAAACAGAAGAACTGAGGTTCAGAGCTTAAACTGGGATTGGTTACTAACCAATGTTTTCTGACTCCCATACCTTTGCATCTCCCTGGAAAGGCCCAGCTCAACCCACCACCGTTTCCGTGGAATTGTCTTCCCCTGCTTCTATCCTCCATCCTCCACCGAGAGATAAGGTTCCTGCTGAGTTCAGTTGACTGTAAATAACATTTTGCAGTTTTCAAAATTCCACAGCCCTGTAAGGTAGTGTAATTACGCATGCAGCTACAAACAAGCGGAAAGAGGCCCATCCGCCCAAGAAAGCATCACAAATAATCAGAACTAGAAATCTTCAGGCTTCAAAACCTATATAATAATGCTCATCACGTCCCATGACTCCAGCTGAGACAATCAGCCAGCAAATTGTCCCTTCAGGTTTCATAATGATATTAGCACAACCTGCACCACAATTGTACTTGCCATCCATCCATCCATCCGTTCAACAAACACGAGCCAGACACCACAATGCACTGGGGATACAGGGATAAAAGTCTTGATGCGTTTACTTCTTGCTTAGAAAACTTGCAACGTGAGATGTGCTGAGACAGGTACACCCAGGTGGCGAGAAGACCAGAGCAGAAGCCCCCGGAACAGCCTGGAGAGCCAGGGAAGGCATCATGAAGGTGATGTTGCCTTGGCTGAATTCCAACAAATAGGAGAGATTTCCTCAGAAGCAAATGGTATGACACCATTTTTACAGAAGAGGATACTAACATCCAGAGGAAGGGAAGGACTTGCCCAGAGTGCAGGAGAGTTTATGTTAGAATTGAGACAGACCTGAAATCAAATCCAATTACAGTAGTTCCACAGTCTCACACCGCCTTTTTTTTTTTTTTTTTTTTTTTTTTTGAGACGGAGTCTTGCTTTGTGGCCCAGGCGGGAGTGCAGTGGCGCAATCTCGGCTCACTGCAAGCTCCGCCTCCCGGGTTCACGCCATTCTCCTGCCTCAGCCTCCCGAGTAGCTGGGACTACAGGCGCCCACCATCACGCCCGGCTAATTTTTTTGTATTTTTAGTAGAGACGGGGTTTCACCGTGTTAGCCAGAATGGTCTCAATCTCCTGACCTCGTGATCCGCCCGCCTCGGCCTCCCAAAGTGCTGGGATTACAAGCGTGAGCCACCGCGCCCGGCCTCTCACACCTCCTTGTACATCTTGATTCTAACATTTGAATCTAGGTTTCTATATACTTTTTTCTTTTCTTTTGAATCTAGGTTTCTAATGATTTGCATAATTACTGGGTCAATGTTTTTCTCTCCCAGTAAACTGCAGGCCTTTTGAGGGTGTAGACCACATTTGATTGTTTACCATTTTAACCTAAGTGCCTGGCACACAGCCTACAACACAGCTCACAATTAAGGCTTCTCATGAATTCAATTAAGGTTCTAGACCACACACAAACACATACACTTGAATTCATCAGTTTTGCTGCATGTATTTTACACGTTGGCTTTTATAGGACTTGGTAATGATTTCCATCAGTGAATGGAATCTTTTGGCATTTTCAGGGCCTAAAAGAACAGAGGCCAGGCCTTGGAAGGCTGAGGTTGTTACTAGGGCATGTGGTTCATCAGCACTAGAGACAGCACCCCACAAAGTTGCTTAGCCCCTCATTGACTTGTTCCTGGTCATTACTCTTAGAAAAGAAGCAATTCCTTTCTCTATATGGAGAAGGAAACTTTTCCACCAACTAGTAGTCAAAGTGAGGCATTCTATGGGACTGACTTCTTTGTGTATTGTCCAATTAAGGAAAAAGACTTTTTTTACACTTATTATTTCAGCCCTAGTCTTTGTATCTTTTGGCACAGAAAGAAGGATTTCCTTCTAGTCCAAAAAGAGAAAGGGAGAATCAGGATTTTAGAGCACAGAGGAATATCCCCTGGATTACTTGGTCTAGTGGTTTTCAAACCACATTCCCAGCAGTTGTGGAATCCTTTTGTGGCCAGTACGGGTGGGGACAGGGAATGCTGAGAGTGTAGGATACCAGCTCCATGCCCCCACTTCCACCAGAGTTGTTCCTTTGTGTGTGTGTGTGTGTGTGTGTGTGTGTGTGTGCTAAATAACAGTTCAAACATCACTGATGGGCCAGGGGCGGTGGTACACGCCTGTAATCCCAGCACTCTGGGAGGCCGAGGCAGGTGGATCACCTGAGGTCAGGAGTTCGAAACCAGCCCGGCCAATATGGCAAAACCCCATCTCTACTAAAAATACAAAAATTACCTGGGCGTGATGGCAGGCGCCTGTAACCCCAGCTACTCAGGAGGCTGAGGCACGAGAATCGCTTGAACTCAGGAGGTGGAGGTTGCAGTGAGCCGAGATCGTGCCATTGCACTCCAACCTGGGCAACAGAGCAAGACTCATCTCAAAAAAAAAAAAAAAGGTCATTGATCTGGCCTAGCATTCTCATTTTACATGTGACGGAACTGAGGCCCCAGGAAGGGACAGGGTTTGTCCAAGGTCACAAATTGAGCAAATGCCTGACACAGATCCAGTGTGTAAAGATGCTGGACCTGGCTGCAAAGTCAGACAATTTCTTTCATTTCAACAGAAAACAATGTGGCAGGCCAGTATCCAAGCTACACAAGTCCAATAAACAGCAAGTGAGGCCTGCTGCAGTGGACAGGGTTATTCCTGACCAGCGTCCATCCCACTTCTGCGCACCACCACTCTCGTTTTCCTTCAGGAAATGACCGTTCTCCCACTTTGAGTCTGCGTAGTTTGGGCGAACTGACCCCACACCCCATGTTTGTTTCAGTGGTAAACACGTGGCCCTGGCCTGACCTATCAGTATCCCATCCTCTCAGACACTGTAATTGGCTCAGAAATGTGAGCAGCTAGTTCAATGACAGTCAGTCCTGGCAATTTACTGGACATATCAGGAGAGAAAATGTAGGTAATGGATCTGCAGGCTGGTCTTCTTTGTTACTTCATGGGGAGACTCTACCTGAGAATGAAGCCAAGACAGAGGAAAGGAAAGCTGACAGAAAGAGATTCCCGATGAAATCCTTTATATCCCTGCATCATCCTCGCCTTACTTGCAGTGTAACATGGCATTTACTTTGGGGCTTAAGATGTTTGAGTTAGATTTCTATCTGTGGGTACTGAAAATCCATATCAATGTAGTGACACATATGTAAGTAATTGTGTGGACTACTACATTCCAGAATTGTGCTGTGACAGCCCTAGACCTGCCAGCTCTCATTCCCTCACTCCCACGACCCTCTCATTCCCTTACTCCCACGACCTTTGCTCTTTCACCTCCAGGCCTTTGACCTCTCTTTCTCCAGCCCAAGCTTGATTATCTCAATCACTTGTTTCCTGACCCTTCTGCTCCCTCCTTACCTTGACTTCTATCACACCTGAACTTTGAACCCACAAGCCCAGGTCAAGCCTCCCTCTGCCTTCTTCACTGCCTCCTGAGGGCTACTGTGTGTGGCAGGATGCAACTACCCAGTGGTGCCCTGTAACCACTGCACAGTCATGGTCTCCAGCCTCAACTGGAGCAACCCAAGTAATGATTAAATGTTGTTATTTGGCCAGGTGCAGTGGCTCACGCCTGTAATCCCAACACTTTGGGAGGCCGAGGTGGGCAGATCACTTGAGGTCAGGAGTTCGAGACCAGCCTGGCCAACATGGTGAAACCCCATCTCTACTAAAAATACAAAAATTAGCCAGGCATGGCAGCACACACCTGTAGTCCCAGCTACTCGGGAGGCTGAGGCAGAAGAATTGCTTGAACCCAGAAGGCAGAGGTTGCAGTGAGCCGAGATTGCGCCACTGCACTCCAGCCTGGGCGACAGAGTGAGACCCTGTCTCAAAAATAATAAATACATACATACATACATACATACATACATACATACATACATACATAAATACATAAACGTTGTGTTAGTTTTTTGGGGGGCTTCAAGTGATCCTCCCATCTCAGCCTCCCGAGTAGCTGGGCATGCGCCACCACACCCAGCTAATTTTTTCTATTTTTTTGTAAAGACAGGGGTCTTGCTGTGTTGGCTAAGCTGGTCTTGAATTCCTGAACTCAAGCAATCCTCCTGCCTTGACCTCCCAAAATGCTGGGATTACAGGCATTAGCCATAGCACCCAGCAGTAAATGTTACATTAGTTAAAAGATTAGTTCAGCTGCAGTAACAGAGAGATCTAAAATAACAGTGGATCAAACAAGAGAGAAGTCACTTTATCTCACAGAAAGTCCAAGCAGGCATGCCAGGAGGTGGGCTGGCTTTACAATCAGTAAGGGCCTATGGTCCTTCTATGATGTGGCTCTGCCACTCCCCACACACATTGTCTATCGTGTGGTCCAAGATAGCTGCTCAAACTCCTCCCAAAAGGGCTGAATTTGCACCAACTAGAAGGAAAAAAGGGGAAGAAGAGGACATACTTCTTCCCTTTAACCTTGATATTGAAGTTGCACCATCATTTCTACTCATATCCCAGGGGCCAGCACTTAATCAAATAGCTAGAACTAGCTGCAAAGGAGGCTGAGAAATGTAGTCTTACACTGGATGGATATGTGCCCAGTTAAAAATTCAATTCCTATGTAAAGAGAGGAGAAGATAGATTGGGAAACAACTCTCAGGCGCTACCCTAAGCTTCTACTATGTGCCAAGCACTGCTGGATTCTCCTTGTATGCGACTCAAAGGCAGGTATGACCTTCCTTCTAGCCAAGGCATCTTTACTATCTGGGTCTCAGGTTAGCAACCTGGGCCCCATTCCATCTCTCAAAGGCCTTGCTCCACCCATTACCTTCCTTTTCTTGTATTTCCATCTATCCTCCCTGATCATTCCCACAGGATATGTGCAATCTTTCTCCCTCCTCCCCCTCCTAATGTCATCACTTGCATTTCTTTCCTAGCACAGTTCTCATCTTGCCAAGTGCCCCCCTTTCCCTTCCCAGGCTTCAGCCCAGTGCAATGTAGCTTTTACTCTTGCTGCTCCCATGAATCTGCTATCTCAAAAGTCCAGGGTGCCACAAAATGAGTCTTAATAAATGTTAAAAATTGAAATAATACATAATACTTTTCCAATCACAATGGAATAAAACTTGAAATCAATAACAGAAGGAAAAATCACAAATATGTGGAAATTAAACCATACATTCTTAAACAATTAACAGGTCAAGAAGAAATCATAAGGGAAATCAGAAAATACTTTGAAATGAATGACAACAAAAGAACAACGTACCGAAACTTATGGGATGCAGCAAAAGCAGTGTTAAGAGAGAAGTTTATAGCTATGAACAGCTATAATAAAAAAGAAGAAAGATCTCAAATTCATAACCTAACTGTACACCTACAGGGACCAGGAAAAACAACAACAACAACAACAAAAGAACAAGCTAAATCCAAAACTAGCAAAAGAAAAGAAACAATAAAGATTAGAGAATAGCAGTATTCCCAGTAGTAAAGAGGCAGAAGCAATATAAGCATCCATTGACAGATAATGGATTTTTAAAAGATGGTATATACATATAATAGAATATTATTAAGCCCTAAAAAAGAAGAAAATTCTGACATGTTACAATATAGATGAATATTGAGCCATCATGCTAGGTAAAATAAGCCAGTCACAAAAAGACAAGTACAGTATGGCTCCACTATGAGGAAGTAGTTAAATTCATAAAGACAAAAAGTACAATGGTGGTTGCCAGGGGCTGGGGAAAGGAAAAATAGAGAGCTAATTCAATTGGTGCAGGGTTTCCATCTGGGAAGATGAAAAAGTTCTGGAGATGGATGATAGTGATGGTTGCACAACAATGTGAATGTACCTAAAGCCGCCTAACTGTACACATAAAATGGTTAAAATGGTATCGTTTATGCTACGTATCTTTTACCAAAAATTTTTAAAAAGATTAAAATGGAGACAAAATAGAGAAACAGAAAAACAGAGAAAATAAAAAAACTAAAAGTTGGTTCTTTGAAAAGAATAACAAAATTGACAAATCTTTAGCTAGATTGACTAAGAAAACAAGAGAGAAGACTAATGATAAAATCAGAAATTACAGCAGGAACATTACTATTTACTATACAGAAATAAAAGGAATATAAGCGAATACTGTAAATAATTATAAACAAATTGGATAATCTGGATGAAATAGACAAATTTGTGGAAAAAAACTGTGAACAGACTACCAAAACTGACTCAAGAAAAAGTAGAAAATCTTAACTGTAATCAAGTAAGGAGACTGAGTCAGTAACCAAAAGTCTCCCTATAAAGAAAAGCCTAGAGCCGAATGGCTTAACTACTGGTTTCTACCAAACATTTAAAGAACTAACACCAGGCCAGGAGCAATGGCTCATGCCTGTAACCTCAGCACTTTGGGAGGCCGATGTGGGAGGATTGTTTGAGGTCAGGAGTTCAAGACCAGGTTGGGAAATAGCAAGACCCCATCTCTACAAAAAAAAAAAAAAAAAAATTTTATTTATTTATGTATTTATTTATTTATTTATTTATTTATTTATTTATTTTTGAGACGGAGTCTTACTCTGTCCCCCAGGCTGGAGTGCAGTGGCGCGATCTCGGCTCACTGCAAACTCCACCTCTCGAGTTCATGCCATTCTCCTGCCTCAGCCTCCCGAGTAGCTGGGACTACATGCGCCTGCCACCACGCCTGGCTATTTTTTTGTATTTTTAGTAGAGACCGGGTTTCACCGTGTTATCCAGGATGGTCTCGATCTCCTGACGTCGTGATCTGCCCACCTCGGCCTCCCAAAGTGCTGGGATTACAGGCGTGAGCCACCCTGCCCGGCCTTTATTTTTTTTCAATTTTATTTGCCAGGCATGATTGTGCCCACCTGTAGTCTTAGCTACTTGGGAGGCTGAGGCGGTAGGATCACTCAGGCCCAGGAGTTTGAGGCTGTAGTGAGCTTTGATCACACCACTGCACTTTAGCTTGGGTGAAAAAGTGAGACACCAGTCCTTCCCAAACTCTTCCAAAAAACTAAAGAGAACACTTTCTAATGCATTCTATGAGGCCAGTGCTGCCCTGATAACAAAGCCAGATAAAAACATTATAAAACAGGCTGGGCATGGTGGTTCATACCTGTAATCCCAGCACTTTGGGAGGCCAAGGAGGGCAGATCACCTGAGATCAGGAGTTCAAGACCCCATCTCTACTAAAAATACAAAAACTATCTGGGTGTGGTGGCATGTGCCTGTAATCCCAGTTACTTGGGAGGCTGAGGCAGAGAATCACTTGAACCTGGGAGGTGGTGGTTGCAGTGAGCCAAGATCACGTCACTGCACTCCAGCCTGGGTCACAGAGCGAGACTCCATCTCAAAAAACAAAACAAAACAAACAAACAAACACTGTAAAACAAACCAACAACAACAACAAAAAAAAACAGATCAAGATCCTGTATGAATATAGATGCAACAATTCTCAACAAAATTCTAGCAAACCCAATTTAGCAGTGTGTTAAAGGATTATCACCATGACCAGTGGGATTTATTCTAGGAATACAAAGGTGGTTTAACATACAAAAATCAGTGTAATATACCATATTAATAGAGTGAAGGGGAAAAGCCCCACATGATCAACTCAACTGATTCAGAAAAAAAATTTGACAAAATCCAATACACTTTCATGATCCAAAAAACAACTAGGAGTTGCCTATGAGAGGGAGGCGGAGCAAGATGGCCAAATGCACCCTCCAGAAATTGCCCCCACCTGCCGCCAGCAGGAAACCAAATTGAAAAACTATCCACACAAGAAGGCACCTTCATAAGAACCAAAAATCAGGTGAGCAGTCACAGTCCCTGGTTTTAACATCACATCAAAGAAAGAGGCACTAAAGAGAGTAGGAAAGACAGTCTTGACTCACCTGCACTACCCCTCTCTCATCCCCTGCCTGAGGCCTCATGGCACAGAGAGAGAATCTATGTACTTGGCAGAGAGATTATGGGACTTTGTACTGGAACTCAGTGCTGCCCTGTCACAGCAGAAAGCAACACAAGGCAGAATTCAACCAGCACCCACGGAGAGAGCATTTAGACAAGCCCTAGCCAGAGGGGAATCATCCATCCCAGTGGTCAGAAACTGAGTTCCGGCCAGCCTCATCACCGCAGGCTAAAGTGCTCTGGGGTTCTACAGAAACTTGGAAGGCAGTGTAGGCCACAAGGACTGCAATTCCTGGGCAAATCTTGGTGCTCTGCTAGGCTTGGAGCCAGTGAACGTGGGGTGCATGTGACCTAGCAAGACAATACCCAGGGCAATCAAGGGAGTGCTTGCATCACCACTCCCCCAAAGCCAGGCAGCGCAGCTTGCAGCTCCCGGAGAGACTCCTTCCTTCTGCTTGAGGAGAGCAGAGAGGAGAGTAAAGGGGACTTTGTCTTGCAACTTGGATACTAGCTTAGCCACAGTAGAATGGGGCAGCAGGTAGAGTCCTGAGGCCCTTATTTCAGGCTCTAGCTCCCAGACGACATTTCTAGACACACCCTGGGACAAAAGAGAATGCAGCGTCTTGAAGGAGGAAAACCCAGACTTGGCAGGATTCATCATCTGCTGAGTAGAGTGCATGGGCCTTGAATAAACATCAGTGGTAGCCAGACAGTATTTACCACGAGCCTTGGGTGAGACCCAGTGCCATGCTGGCTTCAGGTGAACCAGCACATTCCCAGTTGTGATGGCCACAGAAAGAAACCCTTTCTGTTTGAAGAAAGGAAAGAATAAAAGGGACTTTGTCTTGCAACTTGGACACCACCTCAGCCACAGTGGGGTAGAGCACCGAGTGGTCTTTTGGGTTTCCCAATTCCAGGCCTTAGCTCCTGGGTGACATTTTTGGACTTGCCTTGGGCCAGAGGGGAGCCTACTGCCCTGAAGGGAGAGACCCAGGCCCAGCAGTATTCAACACAACTTGAAGAGAGAGCCCTTGGATCTTGAGTGAGCATCAGCGGTAGCCAGGCAGTTCTTGCTATAGGCCTGGGTTGGTTGTGACCACAGGGAGAGTTCTTCTGCATGAGGAAAAGGGAGGGAAGAGTGGAAAGGACTTTGTATTGCGGTTTGGGCACCAGCTCGGCTACAGTAGACTAGAGCACCAAATGGATTCCTAAGGTTTCTGACTCCAGGCCCCAGCTCCTGGATGGCATTTCTGGACCTGCCGTGGGCTGGGGGATGAGCTTGTCACTCTGAGGGAAGGACATAAGCCTGGCTAGATTCACCAGATGCTGATTTTAGAGCTTTCAGGCCTTAAGTGAACATTGGCAGTAGCCAGGCAGTGGTCACCATGGCCCTTGGGTGAGACACAGTATTGGGCTGGGTTTGGGTCTGACCCAACAAAGTCCCAGTGGTGTTGCTACAGAGGTGCTTGTATCATCCCTCCCCCAGCTTCAGACAGCTTATCAGAGAGACTCTGTTTGTTCCTGGGAAAGTACGGGAAGAGAACAAGAGTCTCTGTCTGGTAATCCAGGGAATTCTCCCAGATCTTACCCAAGACCACCAAGGTAGCACCTCTATGCAGCTGAAAGTCACAGCTTTATTGGGCTTGGGGTGCCCCCTAGTGCAGATACAGCTGCAGTGACCAAAGACAGATTACAACACTCAATTCCCTTTGAATGCTTGGCAAGGCTTCCCAAGAAGGATGGGTACAAACAAGCTCAGACTGCAAAGACTGTAATAAATACCTAACTCTTCAATGCCCAGATATTGACAAATATCCACATCATCAAGGCTATCCGTGAAAACATGACCTCACCAAACAAATGAAATAAGGCACCAGTGATCAATCCTGAAGTGACAGATATGTGACCTTTTAGACAGACAATTCAAAATAGCTCTTTTGAGGAAGCGCAACGAAATTCAAGATAATGCAGAGAAGGAATTCAGAATCCTATCAGATAAATTTAACAAAGAGATTGAAATAATTAAAAATAATCAAGCAGAACTTCTGGAGCTGAAAAATTCAGTTGATATACAAAGCATGCATCAGTCCACAGCAGAACTGATCAAGCAGAAGCATTAGTGAGCTTGAAGACAAGCTATTTGGCCAGGCGTAGTGGCTTATGTCTGTAATCCCAGCACTTTGGGAGGCCGAGGTAGGCAGATCACTTGAGGTCAGGAGTTTGAGACCAGCCTGGCCAACAAAGTGAAACCCCTTCTCTACTAAAAATACAAATGTTACCTGGGCGCGGTGGTAGGCGCCTGTAATCCAGCTACTCAGGAGGCTGAGGCAGGAGAATCACCTGAACCTGGGAGGCAGAGGTTGCAGTAAGCAGAGATCATGCCACTGCACTCCAGCCTGGGCAACAAGAGTGAAACTGTCAAAAAAAAAAAAAAAAAAGACAGGCTATTTGAAAATACACAGAGGTGGCCAGGCATGGTGGCTCATGCCTGTAATCCCAGCACTTTGGGAGGCCAAGGGTGGCAGACCAAGTGAAGCCAGAAGTTCGAGACCAGCCTGGGCAACATGGTGAAACCCCATCTCTACAAAAAATAAAAATAAAAATAACAATAAATGAGCTGGGTGTGGTGGCACATGTCTGTAGTCCCAGCTACTTGGGAGGCTGAAGTGAGAGAATCAATTGAGCCTGGGAGGTCAAGGCAGCAGTGAGCTGTGATTGCACCACCGCACTCCAGCCTGGGTGAGAAACTTTGTCTAAAAAAAAAAAGAAGAGGAAGATGAAAAGGAAAATAAAATGCAAAGAGGGGAAAAATTTAAAAAAAAGAATGAAGCATGTCTACTAAATCTAGCAAATAGCCTCAAAAGGGTAAATCTAAGAGTTATTGGCCTTAAAAGAAAGTAGAAAGAAAGATCAGGGTAGACAGTTTATTCAAAGGGATAATAAACAGAACTTTCCAAACCTAGAGGAAAAAAAATTAATATTCAAGTATAAGAAGGTTATAGAACACCAGATATAACCCAAATAAGACTATATCTAGACATTTAATAATCAAACTTCCAAAGGTCAAGAATAAGGAAAGACTCCTAAAAGCAGCAAGAGAAAAGAAACAAATAACATACAAAGGAGCTCCAATATATCTGGCAGCAGACTTCTCAGTGGGAACCTTACAGGCCTGGAAAGAGTGGCATGACATATTGAAAGTGCTAAAGGAAGGCTGGGCATGGTGGCTCATGCCTGTAATCCCAGCACTTTGGGAGGCCGAGGCGGGTGGATCACCTGATGTCAGGAGTTCGAGACCAGCCTGGCAAATAGGGTGAAACCTCATATCTATTAAAAGAACAAAAATTAGCCAGGTGTGGCGGCATGCACCTGTAGTCCCAGCTACTTAGGAGGCTGAAGCAGGAGAATCGCTTGAACCCAGGAGGCGGAAGTTGTAGTAAGCCAAGATTGTGCCATTGCACTCCAGCCTGGGCTACAGAGCAAGACTCCATCTCAAAATAAGTAAATAAATAAATAAACTGCTGAAGAAAAAATATTTTATACTAGGATAGCATACCCAGCAAAAATATACTTCAAACATAAAAGAGAAATAAAGACTTTCTTAGACAAACAAGGGCTGAGGGATTTAATCAACACCAGACTTGTCCTACAAGAAATGCTAAAGTGAATTCTTCAGTCTGAAAGAAAAGGATGTTAATGAGCAATAAGAAATCACCTGAAGGTGCAAAACTCATTGGTAATAGTACGTACACAGACAACCACAGAGTAGTGTAGCACTGTAATTGTGGTGTGTAAACTATTCGTATCTTAAGAAGAAAGAATAAAAGATGAACTTATCAAAAATAATAACTACAATAACTTTTCAAGACATGACAGTATAATAAGATATATATCATAGAAACAACAAAAAGTTAAAAAGCAGGGGGATGAAGTTAAACTGTAGAATTTTTAATTAGTTTTCTCTTTGTTCTTTTTTTTGGCAATTAGTGTTAAGTTGTCATTAGTTGAAAATAAACTATGCAGATGTTATTTGCAAGCCTCATGGTAACCACAAATTAAAAAACCTACAACGCATGCACAAAAAATAGAAAGCAAGAAATTTAAAGATACCACCAGAGAAAATCACCATCACAAAAAGGAAAACAGGAAGGAAGGAAAAAAGGAAGGAAGAGAAGACACAAATAATCAGAAAAAAAAAACCAAAATGACCGTAGTGAGCCCTTACTTATCAGTAATAATAGTGAATGTAAATGGACTAAACTTTCCAATAAAAAGACACAGAGTAGCTGAATGGATTGAAAAAACAAGACCTGCCAGGTGTGGTGGCTCATGCCTGTAATCCCAGCACTTTAGGAAGCCAATGTGGGTGGTGAGCCCAGGAGTTTGAGACTAGCCTGCGCAACATGGTGAAACCCCATCTCTACAAAAAATACAAAAATTTGCCGGGCATGGTGGCATGCACCTGTAGTCCCAGTCACTTGGGAGGCTCAGGTGGGAGGAACACTTGACCCTGGAAGGTCAAGGCTGCAGTGAGCAATAATCATGCCACTGTACTCCAGCCTGGGTGACAGAGTGAGACCCTGTCAAAAAAAAAAAAAAAAACAATGATCTATTGCCTATAAGAAACATATTTCACCTATAAAGACACACACAGATGGAAAATAAAGGGATGGAAAAAATGTTCCATGCAAATGAAAACCAAAAAAGAGCAGGAGTAGCTATACTTACAGCAGAAAAAATAGATTTCAAGACAAAAACTATATAAGGAGACAAAGAAGATCATTATATAATGATAAAGGGACCAATTCAGCAAGAGGATATAACAATTGTAAATATATATGCATCCAACATTCGATCACCACATATAGAAAGCAAATAGTATTAGACCTAAAGATCATGAACAAAGAAACATGGGACTTAATCTGCTATAGACCAAATGGACTTAATAGATATTTACAGAACATTTCTTCCAACGGCTGCAGAATACACATTATTCTCCTCAGCACATGGATCATTCTTAAGGATAGACCACGTTAGGCCACAAAACAATAAGTGCCTACATGAAAAAAAATTGAAACACTTTAAATAAATAACTTACTGGTGCATCTTAAATAACTAGAAAAGCAAGAACAAACCAAATCTAAAATTAGTAAAAGAAAAGAAGATCAGAGCAGAATTAAATAAAATTGAAATAAAAATACAAAAAAGCAATGAAATGAAGAGTTGGTTATTTGAAAAGATAATATCAACAAATCTTTAGTCAGACTAAGAAAAAAACAGAGAAGACCCAAATGAATGAAATCACAGATGAAAAGGGAGACATTACAACTGATGCCACAGAAATTCAAAGGATCGTGAGCAACTACTATGAACAACTATATGTCAATAAATTGGAAAACCTAGAAGAATAGATAAGTTCTTGACATATACAACCTGCCAAGATTGAACCATGAAGGAATCCAAAACCTGAATAGACCAATAACAAGTAACAAGATCAAAGCTGTAATAAAAAGTCTCCCAGCAAAGAAAGACCTGAGACCCAATGGCTTTAGTGCTGAATTTTACCAAACATTTAAAGAAGAACTAATATCAATCCTCCTCAAACTATCCCAAAAAATAGAGGAGGGAATACTTCCAAACTTATTTTATGAGGTCAGTGTTACCCTGATACCCAAATCAGGCAAAGACGTATCAAAAGAAGAAAAGACAACTACAGGCCAATATCCCTGATGAACATTAACGCAAAAGTCCTCAACAAAATATTAGCAATGTGAATTCAACAACACATTAAAAAGATCATTCATCATAACCAAGTGGGATTTACCATAGGGATGCAAGGATGTTTCAACATATGCAAATCAACCAGTGTGGTACATCATATCAATAAAATGAAGGACAAAAGCCATATGGTCATTTCAAGTGGTGCTGAAAAAGCATTTGATAAAATTCAATATCCTACTATAGTAAAAGCCCTCAAAAAACTTGGCATAGAAGGAACCTACCTCAACACAATACAAGCCATATACAACAGACCCACAGCTAGTGTCATACTGAATGGGGGAAAACTGAAAGCCTTTCCCCTATAATCCAGAACAAGACAAGGATGCCCCTTTGCTACTATTATTCAACATAGTACTGGAAGTCCTAGCTAGAGCAATCAGACAACACAAAGAAATAAAAGGCATTCAAATCGGAAAGAAAGAGGTCAAATTATTCTTCCTTGCAGATATGATCTTATATTTACAAAAAACTAAAGATTACATGCACACACACACAAACACACCGACACACAAACTGTTAAAAGTGATAAACAAATTCAATAAAGTTGTAGGATATAAAGTCAACATGCAAAAATCAGTAGCATTTCTATATGCCAACTGTGAACAGTCTGAAAAAGAAATCAAGAAAATCCCATTTGCAATATCTACAAATACAATAAAATACTAAGAATAAACAACCAAAGAAGTCAGAGATCTCTACAGTGAAAACTATAAAACATGCAGGAAATTGAAGAGGCCACAAAAAATGAAAGATAGTCCATGTTTATGAATTGAAAAAATCAATATTGTTAAAATGTTCATACTACCCAAAGCAATCTACAGATTCAGTGCAATCCCTATAAAAATACCAATCACATTTTTCACAGAAATAGAAAAAAAAATCCTAAAATCTATATGCAACCATGAAAGACTCAGGATAACCAAAGCCATCCTGAGCAAAAAGAACAAAACTGTAGCAATCACATAACCTGACTTCAAATTATGCTACAGAGCTATAGTAACCAAAACAGCATGGTTCTGGCATTAAAAACAAAAACAAAAACATAGTCTAATGGAATAGAATAGAGAACCCAGAAACAAATCCATACATTTACAATGAACTCATTAGACAAAGGTGCCAAGAACATACACTGGTGAAAGGATAGCCTCTTCAATAAATGGTGGATAGCCATACGAGAGAAAATGAAACTAGACCCCTATCTCTCTCCATATACAAAAATCAAATCAAAATGGATTAAAGACTTAAATCTATGACCTCAAACTATGAAACCACTAAAATAAAACATTGGAGAAACTCTCCAGGACATCCTTCTGGGCAAAGATTTCTTGAGTAATACCCCATAAACACAGACAACCAAAACACAAATGGGCAAATGAGATTATATAAAGTTAAAAAGTCTCTGCACAACAAAGAAACAATCAACAAAGTGAAGAGACAACCCACAGAATGGGGGAAAATATTTGCAAACTATTTACCTGACAAGGGATTAATAACCAGAATATATAAGGAGCTCAAACAACTCAATAGGAAAAAATCTAATAATCCAATTTAGAAAAAACAGGCAGAAGATCTGAATAGGTGTTTCTCAAAAGAAGACATACAAATGGCAAGTAGGCATATGAAAAGGTGCTCACCATCACTGATCATCAGAGAGATGCAAATCAAAAGTACAATGGGTATCATCTCACTCCAGTTAAAATGGCTTTTATCCAAAAGACAGGCAATAAAAAATGCTGGTGACAATCTGGAGAAAAAGTAATCAGTATGTCTAAGAGACATCTGTACTCCCGTGTTTACTGCAGCACTATTCACAATAGCCACAATTTAGAAGCATCCTAAGTGTCCATTAACAGGTGAATGGATAAAGAAAATAAAAAAGAATGAGATCCTGTCACTTGCAACAACATGGATGTAACTGGAGGTGATGATGTTAAGTGTAATAAGCCAGGCACAGAAAGACAAATTTTGTATGTTCTCACTCATTTGTCGACACTAAAAATTAAAAGAATTTTTAATTGTACTCCCATGAGATAGGGAGTACAATAATGGTTACAAGAGGCTGGGAAGGGTAGTGGGGATGCGGAGTGGGAATGCTTAATGGGTACAAAACTATAGTTAGAATGAATAAAATCTAGTGTTTGATAGCACAGCAGCGTGACTATAGTCAACAATAACTTATTGTACATTTAAAAATAACTAAAAGAGTATAATTGGGTTGTTTGTAACACAAATAAATTATGTACGCTTGAAATGGTGAATACCTTATTTACCCTGATGTGATTATACATTGTATGCCTGTGTCAAAATATCTCATGTACTCCTTAAATGTATGTACCTACTATGTACCCATATAATTAAAAAATTTTTAAAAACTTCCTCAATATGATATGATACAAGTTTTTTTGTTTGTTTGTTTTTTTTTTTTTTGAGACGGAGTCTCCCTCTGTTACCCAGGCTAGAGGGCAGTGGCGTGATCTGGGCTCATCCTTGTGTGCTAATAGACCTGAGAACAAAGCTTACTCAGGGGTGGGGCTGCTGGCTTTTAGATTATAGGCACACTCCCTGCACCTGCTCCCACGTTTTCAGCAGCATTTGGACTTATCCACCTTTCTAATTATTGGCAAGCTAATGGGCATGCTTATTATTTCAGACCTGGGCTGACTTCTGGGGCCAAAAGGGATAGAGATGATTTTGCTGACACCTTATAGGTGGTACAAAGTCATAAAAGTAACTAACATTGATTTATATAGTGAGAACACTATTGCCTTTTTAGTTTTCTTTTAGTAAGTTTTAGTGTACTGGAGTGTGCCTTTAATTCCTTCCTCATACCGTCATGTGTCCCATAGCAACATTTTGGTCAATGACAGACCACATATAAGATAGTGGTCTCATAAGATTATCATGGAGCATATATAAAAACCTGATTAGAAACTTGACATTGGCATTTCAGATCAAGTAGGGGAAATAATTGATATTCAATATTCAGTAAAGATGTTGGGACATTTAGTTTTCCAGATTAAAAAAATGTATATTTACTAGTATATATACCATCTAGGTTTGTATAAGTATACTCTATGATGTTCATGCAATGACAAAATCACTTAAAGACACATTTCTCAAAAAGTATCCCTGGCATTAAGGGACACATGACTGTACTTGCTAGACTTCCTTTTTATTAAAGATTCTTTGGAAAGCCTACTGTTGTTTTTATTGTATTTATTTTTGTGGTTTCTGACTATTTCTGGTAAGTTATAATGGTTTTCTATGTATGGAGAAATACTTCATTAAGTAAAAAAAGCAGGTCAATTGAAAGAAAAATGGTAATTAAGTCATAGGTGTTCCCTAGATAGCACAGAAATTCTGAAGATGGCTCTTCATATCACCAAGGCTGGGGAAATCTGACATAAACCAAGGTTCGTCTGGGAACAGAGGGGTCTGTCCTGATGCTCCAGGTGGCCTGGTAAGCCTTACCTCACAAAATGTCCCAGGTTCAAATCCTGCTTTTTCTGAGCAAGTTACCTCTCATTCCCCTCTGCTGTAAAACAGTGATGACAACACTCACAGGATTATTAAGATAATTAAATGAGATCTTAATGAGGGACTCTAGCACTGGGAGGGGCATAACACATGGTGTCAACACCTTGGAGTATGAAGACATGGACTTTTTTTCTTTTCTTTTCTTTTCTTTTCTTTTGAGACAGAGTCTCGCTCTGTCACCCAGGCCGGAGTGTAAGTGGCACAATCTCGGCTCACGGCAACCTCTGCCTCCCCAGATCAAGCGATTCTCCTGCCTCAGACTCCTGAGTAGCTGGGATTACAGATGCCCACTACAACACCCAGCTAATTTTTCATTTTTAGTAGAGACGGGGTTTCACCATATTGGTCAGGCTGGTCTCGAACTCCTGACCTCAGGTGATCCACCCGCCTCGGCCTCCCAAAGTGCTGGGATTATAGGCACGAGCCACCGTGCTCAGCTTTCTTTTCTTAATAGTTGCCTTCTCTCTGTGTGTCCTGGCCTTAGCAGTAGATTTTGTCATGCTTTTCCCCCTTCATGATTATGTTTTTAATTAATTTTTGTTTTGTGTGTCATCCTTGCCCAGGGGCCATGCTGTCTCTGTCTCATTCTAATTTTAGTATATGTGCTGCTGAAGAGAGCACTTGCCATATTTTTTAAATGGAAACAGTACCCCTAGGCACTCACAGGAACTGCTTTGGAGCCTAGAGACGGGAAATTGGGCTGGGGACAGAGGTCAGGTTAGCAAGGGCAAAGCCCATGCCTCCCACCATAAAGTCCTCTGCTGGGAGCAGTGTTTCCGTTTCAGCAGGCACGTCCCAACGCAATGGGTAAACCTGGCCACATCCGCTGACTCCCAGAGTCTGCCTGGGAACGTGGCCGAGCCTGGAGCTCCCATGGGTCCTGTCTGGAGCACATGGTAGTGGGGTCAGAGGTCAATCAGGGTAGGTTGGATGAATGCAGCTGGTCTGACAAGAGGGCAGGCATTGAGGTCTCTTCTGGTGAAGATCTTAACTGTCAAATTGTGGTCCTGGGTCTAGGATGTGGAATAAGCCTGGTAAAGACCTTGCAGAGCTCTGATGAGGTAGGGTGGAATTAGGAGCCATCCATTTAATCAATAAATACGAACATAGATTTGACACTCCAGTTAAGTGTTTATATTGGTTTCCTATTGCTGCCATAACATATTTAGTGGCTTAAAACAACACAAATCAATAATCTTACAGTTTTGGAGGCCAGAAGTCCAAAATGGGTCTCACTGGGCTAAAATGAACGTGTTGTTAGGGCCACGTTCCTTTCCAGGGATTCTGGGGAAGAATCCATTTTCTCGCCTTCTCCAGGCTGCCCACATGCCTGGACTCAGGTCCCCTTTCCACCTTCAAAGCCAAAAATGGCCAGTTGAGTCTTTCTTATGATGTCATCTTTCTGCTTCTGACCCTCCTGCCTCTCTCCTTTTTTTGTTTTTGAGATGGAGTCTCACTCTGTCGCCCAGGCTGGAATGTAGAGGGGTGATCTTGGTTCACTGCAACTTCTGCCTGCCAGGTTTAAGCAATTCTGTCACCTCAGCCTCCAGAGTAGCTGGCATTACAGGCGCACGCCACCACACTCAGCTAATTTTTGTATTTTTATTAGAGACGGGGTTTTACCATGTTGGCCAGGCTGGTCTCGAACTCCTGACCTCAGATGATCCACCCACCTCAGCCTCCCAAAGTTCTGGGGTGACAGGCCTGAGCCACAGTGCCCAGACCCTCCTGCCACTCTCTTATAAGGTCCCTTCATGATTACACCAGGCCCACCCTGATACTCCAGGATAATCTCCTCATCTCAAGACCCTTATCTATTTTTTTTTTTTTTTTTGAGACAGAGTCTCGCTCTGTTGCCCAGGCTGGAGTTCAGTGGCACAATCTTGGCTCACCACAACCTCCGCCTCCTGGGTTCAAGCAATTCTCCTGCCTTAGCCTCTCGAGTAGCTGGGACTACAGGCATGGGCCACTATGCCCAGCTAATTTTTGTATTTTTAGTAGAGACGAGGTTTCATTATGTTGGTCAGGCTGGTCTCAAACTCCTGACCTTGTGATTCGCCCTTCTCAGCCTCCCAAAGTGCTGGGATTACAGGCGTGAGCCACAGTGCCCCGCCAAGACCCTCATCTTAATCACATCTGTGGAGTCCCTTTGGCCATGGAAGGTAACATATTCACTGGCTCCGGGATGTGAACATCTTTGTGGGGGCCACTATTCTGCCATGGCTGGTCTCCTCTCCTGAGGTCCCATCATAGCCCAGGCCTGCATGCCCCAGATTTCAGTCCAGTGGCAAAGAGTACACTTTCGTATTGCTTGCCCTGGGAAATATGCCAGGGTTGGCTGTGACTAGGCCAACTTGGGTTGTTAGGTTCACTAACAATCCAGTCACTGCGGCCAGCAGGATGGACCATGCTGCTTGGTTAGTACTGAGTCTCAGGCTCATCCCTGGAACTGAGACTGAGGTCAGCCCCCTCGAGACCTGGAAGAAAGGAGGGAAGAACTTTCCAAGGATAATTGAGGAGCTCTTACAAAAGAAGAGGGAGTAGGTGCTGACCACTACCGACCACAATGATCTTGTGAAACACTGTGATGCCCATTTTGCAGGTGGAAGAGATGGTGAAGTCACACTGCCAGCATGAGGTACAGCCATGATTTGAACCCGCGTGGAGGAGTTCTTGCCACTATATCAGGCTTCCTTGACCCGTGGCTAAATGTGGCATTGGCAGATCTGATTAATGCTGAATGTTATGTAGCTCAGCTGACCTGGGTGGCAGCCTCCTTAGAGGTTGGCATGGGACCTACTGAGGAAGGCACATGGTTAACACAATTACTGGCGAGGTAGATACCCTCAGAGAAAAGGGAAATTTCCATTTCACTCCTGAAAGACTCTTTAAAGCCAAAACTCAAATCAAAGAGCAAAGTATAATAACTTCCTCTGGGCAAATTTATAATTAATCCTGGATTAATTGGCCTTAATGAAGTTGAATTAATTACTAGCTGTTTGTAAAGAACTTTGAACTACCTTAGTACAAAATGGCATTAAAGAAACAGAAAGGAACCAGCATCGCATTAACATGAAGAACAAATCCCAAATAATCGCAGTTCTGCAGGCTGTTTCCCGTCACTAATTTTCCCAGGGACTGTGTCCAGCCTGTGGAACTGTAGGGGGCCCACGGAGTCTGTTGCAGAGGAGGATGTCTTCGTGGGCTAGAGGTTTGGTGGTGAGTGCATTCAAGAAGCAGTTATGGGGCTTTGCGTGTGCCAGGCCCAGGGCTATCAAAGATATGCAAGGTGAGGCCCTTGCTCTCCAGGCATCCTCAGCTACCAGGAAGGGGAAGAGCTCTGGAGCACCTGCCTGGTCTAAAGCAAACTCAGCTTAGTGGGAGGGATGGTAGGACAGAGACAGTAGACTATAGGAGGCGTGAAGCAACCTGCATTTTGCTGGGAACAGCTCTCCATTTCCTGTAGGGGATCCCCTGGTCCCTCCTTCCCCCCATTCTTGGGGTGGGCTCATGACCCACACCTGGCTAGGCAGAGCACTGGATTTCTCTCTTGGTGCAGGGGCACATGACTTCATCAGGGCCAAGGAGACTTGGTTTGGGGACTTTGTGGAGCTGCTGACAGCCACTTTGTCATTGTGAGGGGGGAGCCTGTCTGGGAATGGTGACAACTCAGAGGAAGGAGGAACGGAGAGAAAGAGACAAAGTCAGTGTCTTCATGTTGTCATCTGAGCCCCTGGATGAAGCAAGCTCTTCCCCCAGACTTTTTAGCTAGGTTTATTTATTTAAATTCACAAACTCTGATATAGCACTTATTAATATACCAGGAATTGCTCTAAGTGCTATAGACATACCAATTCATATAATCATCATTACCCTGTGAGTTAGGAAGTATTATGCCCCATTTGACAAATGAAGAAACTGAGGCACAAAGCAGTTTTGTAATGTGCCCAAGGCTCCACAATTTCCAGCTGGTGGGAGCAGGACTGGACACAAGCAGTGTCTGTGCTTTTCACTACACCATGGGCCAGCATGTTCCCTTTTTTGCTTAAGTCAGTTTCACTGTGAGTTTCTGTCATTTGTCCTCAAAAAGCATGACTGTGCAGAACATGACATGGAGGTAGCCAATCCAGCCCCCAGAGGTCTGAGGAAGCTTCCAGAGGGCGTGCCAGCCCAAGGAAGTAGCCCGCGGGCGAGTGTTGGGGTGGGGTGGATGGGCACGGTGTGTGTGTGCAGGATTTCACAGGTTCAGGGTCACCAGGCACAGGGAGAGAAACGGAGAGGAGCATGGCAGGGTGAGCTGGGGTGGGGTGAGGAGTCAGTCTATCCACAGGTGACAGTGATAAAGCATTTGTAACTCTTCCCTTGGGGACTACAAACTAAGGAATCTTAGTCCTACTGGTGCCTTTAGGACACTTTTTCAAATTTTAAAAAATTTACTTATTGAATAGGTAATACTTTCACATGATTTAAAATTCAAAAAATGCCAATGTATTTCAAGTAAAATGTCTTTCTGTCTTCCCTCCAGCCAACCTGTTCCCCTCCCTGGAGATAACATTTATTGAGCACCACCTATATGCACTGTGCTAAACCCAGGGGGAAGCAGATAATGAGGAATGAACATAATAAGGAAATAAACCATACACGTATGTTCAAAGGTGATATGCGCAAAGGAGAAACTGGAGCAGGATAAGGGGGATCAGGAGTAGGGAGGGGGCTGTACTTTTAGAGAGGCTGTCCAGGGCAGGGCTAATGCAGGACGTGACAGTTGAACTTGGAGGAGGTGAGGGGTGAGCCATTTAGAGGTTTGGGAGAAAAATGCTCTGGTCCATGCTTGGGGGCTTTGAGTAACAGCAAGGGGGCCAGTGTGGCTGGAGCCAGAAGAAAACAGGAGATGAGTTCAGGAAGGTAGCATGGTGTGTGTATGTGTGTGTATGTGTGTCTCTGTGCATGTGCGTGCGTCTGTGTGTGTGTGTGCATGTGTGCGTGTGTCTCTGTGCTTATGCATGGCCCCATTTGCCTGCTGCTGTGAGCAAGTGTGTGTGCGTGCATCTGTGTGTGTGTCTCTGTGCGTGTGCACGGGCGTGTGCATGTGCGTCTGTGTATCTCTATGTGTGTGTATGGCCCCATTTGCCTGCCGCTGTGAGCACGTGTGTGTGCGTGCATCTGTGTGTGTGTGTCTCTGTGCGTGTGCACGGGCATGTGCATGTGCGTCTGTGTATCTCTATGTGTGTGTATGGCCCCATTTGCCTGCCGCTGTGTGCACGTCTGTGTGTGCGTGCATGTATGCGTGTGTGTCTCATGCGTGTGCACATGTTTGCGTGTGCATCTGTGTGCATGCACATGTGTCTCTGTGCGTGTGCATGGCCCCATCTGCCTGCCGCTGTGTGCACGTGTGTGTACGTACATCTGTGTGTCTCTGTGCGTGTGCACGTGTGTCCATGTGTCTGTGTGTGTGTGCATGCATCTGTGTGTGTGCGCACTTGTGTGCGTTTGTGTCTCTGTGAGTGTGCATGGCCCCATTTGCCTGCCACTGTGCTGCTGTAAGGACTGTGGCTCCTCGTCCAAGTGAGATGAGGAGATAAAGGCTCACTCCAGCTTCTGTAAGCAGAACAGGCTATAGGAGAACAAGAGCAGATGCAGGGAGTCCTAGTAAAAGAACAGCTTCAGTAAATTAAAACCATGATGAGATACCACAACACACCTATTGGAAAGGCCAACATTATAATTATTATTGAGACAAGGTTTTGCTCTGTTGCCCGGGCTGGGGTGCAGTGGCACAATCGGCTCACTGCAGCCTTGACCTCCTGGGGTCAAGGGATCCGCGCACCTCAGCCTCTTGAGTAGCTGAGACCACAGGCATGTGCCACCATACCTGGCTAATTTTTGTGTTTTTTGTAGAGGTGGAGCCCTACTGTGTTTCCCAGGCTGGTCTCCAACTCCTGGGCTCAAATGATCTTCCCACCTTGGCCTCCCAAAATGCTGGGATTACAGGCATGAGCCACCACATCCTGCAAGAAAAGCTAAAATTAAAAACAAAACAAAACAGCCTAGGTAACATAATGAGACTCCATCTTTACAAAAAATTTTAAAAATTGGCTAGGCTACCCAGGAGGCTGGGGCGGGAGGATGGTTTGAGCCCAGGAGTTTGAAACTGCAGTGAGCTATGATTATGCCACTGCACTCCAGCCTGGATGACAGAGTGAGACCCCATCTCTAAAACAAAAACAAAAACAAGACACTCAACAATACCAAATACAACTGATGATGCTGAGCAAGCGAAACTCTTATACATTGCTGCGGGAATGTAAAATGATACAGCCACTCTGGAAAACAGTTCAGCAGTTTCTTATAAAGTTAAAACCCACTTGCCATATGACCCAACAATCTCACTTTTGGTATTTACCTGAGTGAAACTTATGTTGGCATAAAACCTATACATAAGTGTTTAGAGCAGCTTTATAATAGCCAAAACCTGGAAACAACCCAAATGCCCTTCAACAGGTGACTGGGCAACCAAATGATGATCCATCCATATGATGGAATACTACACAGTGATAAAAAGGACCACACACTGCAGTTATACACAACAACATGGATAAATCTCAAATGCATTATGCTAAGTGAAAGAAGCTGGACCCCAACGGTTACCTACTGTTTGCTTCCACTTATATGATGTTCTGGAAAAGGCAAAGCCTGTAGAGACAGAGAACATAGATAACTATCTGCCAGAGGTTAAAGGTGTAGGAGGGGTTGATCATAAAGGGCTTTTTTTTTTTTGAGGGTTGAGTCTGTTTTGTATCTTGATTGTGATGGTGATTACCTGATATCATGCATTGGCCAAAGCTCATAGAGCCGTACACCAACAAGGGTGAATTTTACTGTTGCAGTAATCCAGGTGAAGAGATGATGGCTTAGATCAAGTGCTGATGGTAGAGATGTTCAGAGGGGATTGGATTCTAAGGGTAAAACCAACAGAATTTTTTAATGAATTGGATGTGGTGTATGAAAGAAAGAGAGGAGTCAAGAACTGAGCCAGTTTGCTGCTTAAAAAACTGGGAGGATGCAGTTCTCATTCACTGTGATGGGAGTGGAGTGGAGGGTAAAACCAGAAATTCTGACCTTGACATGTAAGTTTGAGATGCCTATTACACATTCAGGTTGTGTATGTGAGCCTGCAGTTAGGAGGGGGAGGCTCCTGGCTGCAGGCTCACACACAGAACCTGAATTTGGGAGTCAATGGCTTGTAACGCCAAGAGACATAGACATCACCAGGGAGTAAACATATAGAGAGAAAGTTGGAGGGCTGAGCCCTGGGACCTTCTTGTGTCTGCTGTTATCCATCTCTTATGTATCCTTGTAGGGCTATTCTGTACTTGTACAAGCACATATATATAGAGAGTGCATTTTTCATAAATGCAAACATGCTACACACACTAGTGTGCACCCTATTTTTTCAGTTACCAATATTATCTTAGAGATTGTTCCCAAGTAGTGTACAAACAGCTTCTTTGTTCTTTTCAAAGTCTGCATCGTATTCCACAGTATAGACAGACCATGATCTCTCTTTTTCTATTTACAGTTTTTCATTATGGAAAACTTTGAACATATCAAAAATGTAGACAGAATAATGAACCCCCAAGACCCATTACCCAACAATGATCAACTCAGGGCCAGTCTAGACTGCCACACACTCTTCTTTTAAATTATGATTTTTGGTAGCTTTGTGTCTGATATAATTTCTTTTTTCTTTCTTCTTTTCCTTTCCTTTCTTTCTTTTCTTTTTGGTAGCTTTGTATCTGATATAATTTCTCTTCTTTCCTCTTTCTTTCTTTCTTTTTTTTTTTTTTTGACAGAGCAAGACTCTGTTGCCCAGGCTGGAGTGCAGTGGTGCGATCATGGCTCACTGCAACCTCTGCATCCCGGGTTCAAGCAATTCTCGTGCCTCAGCCTCCCGAGCAGTTGGGATTACAGGCATGCACCACCATGCCTGGCTAATTTTTGTACTTTTAGTAGAGACGGGGTTTTGCCATGTTGGCCAGGCTGGTCCTGAACTTCTGGCCTGAAGTGATCTGCCCGCCTTCGCCTCTCAAAGTGCTGGGGTTACAGGTGTAAGCCACTATGCCTGGCCTTTGTCTTGATATAATTTCAAACTTACCATAATTATTCTTTTTAAGGACATTTACTTTGTTTATAATATTTTGCTACTACATACAATATAGAAAAGAAATACTTGGTACTAGAACATGCCTTTTCATGAAGACTACTTTCCTTGGGGCCCAAAAGAACAAGAGGCTGGGGCCTGAAACGCTTCCAGAGCAACTGTCTGGAGGAAGGAGTGAGTCTCAATGGTTTCTCTCCATGGGAATCTGTTTCTGAGACCCTTGGGCCAGCCACACAACCAGAGCCCACACAAGGAGGGAGACTTCGGTGATGTTGTAACACCAATCTCAGCATTGGTGAGATTCTGTTTTCTGGGGAAGTCTGGCTTTGGCCTCTGGCCAGCTTTCCAGAGCTTCTGCCTTTGATGCTTCAGAAGGCCACACCACCAGGCTAAAACCATACTTTGAAAGACATTTTCAGGATATGCTTAGCATGCAGCTTCTTCTCTTCAGCCCCACCTCGCCACGTGCCACATGGCTTAGGTTGCTGCTGTCTCTGAGCCTGCTGTTTTCTCTGTGCAGCACGTTCTTTCATCAATTTCCCTCGGTTCTGTGCAGCCTGGCCCTTCTCTTGCATCTTTGTCAGCTCAAATGCCTCTCCCTTAATAAGCATCCTCCTCCCTTGCACCAGTAACTCTCAGCCATGCTGCCTTATTTCTCCCAAAGCACTTCATCATTATTTGCCTTATTCATCCACAGTTGTATCCCTCCAAAATATCATGTCTGCCACACAGCAGGTGTTCAATCAATATTTGTTAGAATATTTGTTAGAAGATTTGTATTAGTCAGGATTCTCTAGAGGGACAGAACTAATGGAATATACATGGAATATATATATATCTCCTAAGCCCAGGCTACAGACTCTCAGGGTGAGAATTTCTGAGTCAGAGATAATGTTGTCCTCTTCCATCTTGGAATATGTATACATATATGTATATATATTCCATATATGTGTATATATATTCCATTATATATATATATATGTATGTTCCATTGTATGGAATATACATCCATATGTATATATGTATGTTCCATATGTATATATGTATATTCCATATATATATTCCACAGAATATATATATTTGACAGAACTAATAGAATATATATTCTATGTATATATTCTATACATATATTCTATACATATTCTATACATATATTCTATATATATTCTATATATTATATATTCTATATATATTCTATATATTATATATTCTATATATATTCTATATTATATATTCTCTATATATTCTATATATTATATATTCTATATATATTCTATATATTATATATTCTATATATTATATATTCTATATATTATATATTCTATATATATTCTATATATTATATATTATATATATATATTCTATATATATATTCTATATATATAATATAATATTCTATATTATATATATAATATATTCTATATATTATATATATTATATATTCTATATATTATATATTATATATTCTATATATATTATATATATTATATTATATATTATATATATAATATATATTCTATATTCTATATATTCTATATATATTATATGTTCTCTATATATTCTCTATATATCTATATATTCTATATATATTCTGTATATATTCTATATATATTCTATATATATTCTATATATTCTATATATATTCTATATATACTCTATATACATTCTATATATACTCTATATATTCTATATATACACTGTATATATTCTATATATATATACTCTATATATCTATATATAAAATCTATATATATTCTATATATAGATATATAAACTATATCAAGTGATCTGCCTGCCTCAGCCTCCCAAAGTGCTGGGATTACAGGCATGAACCACCGTGCCCAGCCAAACCTTTTTTCTTTTCATTACCATTTCAGGATTCTGTTTAAAACAGAGGTAAGAAATGAGGTTTATTTGAAGCCAGGCCCTGTACAAAGTCTTTGTTAGTTGAAATATTTCTCAGAGGTACATAAAGCCTCTAAAGCTCTTATTACCTATTTACTAACCCTCCCTTTTAAATACGTTTACTGCTTTTACTACTAGATTTTTTTTAATGGGAGGCGTATTTTTACAGTTTCCTATTTGCAAGGTGGGAAAACGGAAACAAAGATTCTGTTCTCTTCTTGTAAGGACCCTAATCCCATCACAAGGGCCCGCTCTCATGATCTCATCTAACCTCCCAAACGTCCCATCTCCAAATACTATCACACTGGGGGTCAGGGTGTCCACATATGAATTTGAGAGGGACACAATTCAGTCTATGACATGGACTCTGTTCCTAGTGGAGAGTGGTGGAACGAAGGAGGCAGTTACTGCAAGCATGAATACATCCGCACATGGTCTGGCTCATCACAGAGGGCAAAGGTAAGATCCTGTGAACTTTGTGCTCCACCGCCACAGTGTTACAAAAACACTCTCTTCTCCAGAAAAATGGAAGGAGGAGGCAATGTTGGGCTAGCATTCCTGCCTGGTATCACTGGCTGAGACTGAGCAGTGGCTTCCCTCTTTGCACAGGAAAAGGGCTCTCCAGGTCTCCCAGGTCCCCACCACTCCCTGTCATCTTAGACTCTTTTAACTTCTCTTCTTTGATTTACCCACCACCTGGCCAGAGCAGACACTTAGGTTTGTTACCTCTGGTTGGTGACTATGGCTGACAACCTTTTTTGTGGTTCTAGACACTTCAGAATCTAGTGAGAGTTGTCGACCCTCTGTCTAGCAAGAGCACATCACAACACATTGTGCGTTCAATTTAGAGGTTTGTGGCCTCTCCTAAGCCCAGGCTACAGACTCTCAGGGTGAGAATTTCTGAGTCAGAGATAATGTTGTCCTCTTCCATCTTCAAACCATCTTTTCCCATGGTTGGCTCCTTCTCAACACTGGAGTTTCAACTCAAACAGCAACTCCTAGATGTCTTCCCTGACCCACAGTTAGGTAGCTGTCCATCCTCCCTCTCCTGCTCCTTTTTATCTCAGCTTTTATTTTCCCTAGGAGACTTCTCGCTCTCTGAAATGGTCTGGTTCAGGCTGTATTGTTTGACTTAGCCCTCACCCCCTGAATGTAATATTAGCGGGCACTGTAGCCCAGCGGAACCCACCAGGCACTTGGTAAGATCTTGCTGAAATGTATGAATGATTGGAAGTGTGTCCGGAGTTGGTTTCTTCCAGTGGGTTCCTAGTCTCGCTGACTTCAAGAATGGAGCCGCGGACCTTCGCAGTGAGTGTTAAAGCTCTTAAAGATGGCACAGTCCCAAAGAGTGAGCAGCAGCAAGATTTATTGTGAAGAGCAAAAAGCTTCTGCAATGCGAAAGGGCACCTGAGAGGGTTGCTGCTGCTGGCGGGGGTGGCCAGCTTTTATTCCCTTATTTGCCCCCTCCCCCACGTCCCCCCGCCCTCCCCCGCCCCCCGCCGTCCCCCCGCCCTCCCCCCCGCCCCCGTCTTCCCGCCCCCCCCGCCCCCGTCTTCCCCCCGCCCACCCCGCCCCCCCCGCCCCCCTTCGCCCCCCCATGTTCCGTTTTTGTCCTATCAGAGCGCCCTTTTTTCAATCCTCCCTGTGATTGGCTTCTTTTAGGATCCTGCTGATTGGTGCATGTTACAGAGCACTGATTGGTGCGTTTTACAGAGCGCTGATTGGTGCATTTTACAATCCTCTTGATAGCTATAGAAAAGTTCTCCAAGTCTCCACTCACCCAGAAAGTCCAAATGGCTTCACTTCTCAGAAGGATCCCTCCATCTCGGGCTCCTAGAGGCTTCAGGCAGGAGGAGCCACGTGAGAGAGAAACCCTGCCTACGGTGACCTCCAGTTCCTAGACCACCCACTCGGAGCACGGCGCTCGGCTGTGCCCGTGAGCCTCAGGAGGGCGGAAGCTTCCGGGCCGGAACGGGTGTGCACAGCGCGCCGGTTACGGGGGGGCAACTTAACGGGCCGGACCGCGGCGACTACCGAGGGAGGTGAGGGGCGGGCCGGGCGGGTGTCCGAGGCGGCGGCGGCGGCATGGCAGGGCGGCGGGTGAACGTGAACGTGGGCGTGCTGGGCCACATCGACAGCGGCAAGACGGCGCTGGCGCGGGCGCTAAGCACCACAGCCTCCACCGCCGCCTTTGACAAGCAGCCGCAGAGCCGCGAGCGCGGCATCACGCTCGATCTGGGCTTCTCGTGCTTCTCGGTGCCGCTGCCCGCGCGCCTGCGGTCGTCTTTGCCCGAGTTCCAGGCAGCGCCCGAGGCCGAGCCCGAGCCCGGCGAGCCACTGCTTCAGGTCACGCTGGTCGACTGCCCCGGGCACGCCTCCCTCATCCGGACCATCATCGGCGGTGAGCGCGGGCCGGGGCGGGAGCCGGGCTCAGGGACGCGGGCGGAGCGACCGGGCCCCGTGTCCGAATTCGCTCGAGCCTTTGCCGGGACGGGAAATCGCCCCACCTCATTGGTGGGGCTCCTGACGCCCCAAGAGGCGGACGTGACTTGCCTAGGGCTCCGCAGCAAGTGAGCGGAGGCTTTGAGATTCAGCTTTTCCCATCCAGCAGAACCGAGCTGCAAGGCGCCTTCCTTAAAAAAAAAAAAAAAAAAAAATCAAAAAATCCCTACCAAATGTGTTTATAATACATGGTCAAGTAAAGAAAACTCAAAATAAGAAAACTCACAAGCTACAAAAAGGGTATACATACAAAGGCTGTCTTCATTCACCTGTCATTTGGTCTGATTCCCGTTCCTAGAGCCAACCGCTGCTACCAGTTTTTGTATATCATTTCAGAAAGGCTCCACGTCAATACAAGCATATCTGTGTGTATGTATAAATCCCTCTTTCCCTCATCCTTTTAGACACGATTTCACTCAACATTGTGTCTGGAGAGTGCCCCATATCTGTACACAAAGCTACATCATTCTTTTTAAAGCTCACATAGAATTCAACTGCACCCTTGTACCAACATTTTCTTTTTCTTTTTTTTTTTTTCTTTTTGAGACAGAGTCTTGTTCTGTCGCCCAGCCTGGAGTGCAGTGGCACGATCTCGGCTCACTGCAACTTCCGCCTCCTGGGTTCAAGCGATTGTCCTGCCTCAGTCTCCTGAGTAGCTGGGATTACAGGCGCGCGCCACCACGCCCGGCTAATTTTTTTGTATTTTCAGTAGAGACGGGTTTCACCATGTTGGTCAGGCTGGTCTCAAACTCCTGACTTCATGACCCGCCCGCCCTGGCCTCCCAAAGTCCTGGGATTACAGGCGTGAGCCACCACGTCCGGCCTGTACCAACATTTTCTGAACAAATCTTTTAATGATGGACGTTTATGCTGTTTCCAGTATTTACAAACCATTTTGCAGTGAATATTCTAGAACAGAACTCTTTGGTATGTTCGCATATATGTAGGATAATAGATAATAACTGGCTGGGGCAAGGGGCATGTGTGTTTTCGGTCGTGGTGGGTACTGCCAAAATGCCCCACAAAGAGGTACCATTAATTTTTAATTATACATGTAATACATGAATACATGCTACTTGTGAAGAAATAGAACATCACAAATAAGACAAACATTCCCTTACCCACTCCTCTGTCCTAAATTCTGTACCCCTCCTATCTCTGCAAATGAAAAGACCCGTTTTTTGTTTTTTTGTTTTTTTGTTTTTTTCTGAGATGGAGTCTCGCTCTGTTACCAGGCTGGAGTGCAGTGGTGCAATCTTGGCTCACTGCAACCTCTTTCTCCCCGGTTCAAGCGATTCTCCTGCCTCAGCCTCCCAAGTAGCTGGGACTACAGGTGCACATCACCACACCTGGCTAATTTTTATATTTTTAGTAGACATGGGGTTTCACCATATTGGCCAGGATGGTCTTGATCTCGACCTCGTGATCCCCATGCCTCGGCCTCCCAAAGTGCTGGGATTACAGGTGTGAGCCACTGTGCCTGGCTGAAAAGACCATTATTATACCTTTGTGGATTACTTTTCCAGACCCATTTAACTCCACTTAAATATATGGATAGAGTTTTAAAACATGTTTTGTTTTTAGAAAAAATGATACAATAATATAAACACATGGTATAAAAGGGTATATAGCTAAAGAAGTATACTTCTCACTGCTGACCCCAGTACCTGATTACCTTTCTGTTCCCATTTTCTTGTGTTTCCTTCCAGCAATATTCTGTATGCCACACATGGGAATATATATTGGGCAGATGATAATTGGCTTGGTGGCAGATGGCCTCATTGGTCACTGGGCATTCTGGGTCCCAGCTATAATGGTGAGCTTGTTAAGTACAGTACTTCATCTTTGTTACCTCCCAACTGTTTCATGTTACAGGCAGTCTGAGATCATTTCCCCATTTTACAGTAGAGGAAATAGAAGTTTGAAGAAGTGAAGGGACTTGCTCAGGGTCACACTATCTAAAGTCTTCTCCTCAATCCATGTTTCAGTCAGGTGAATTTCAAGGGGCACACAATTCTCTACCCATTCCTCCCTGCCCCCTTATAACTGAATTCTGTTTGGTCACATCAAAGTACATTTTAGAACATGGACTCTGAGCCAGTCCAGACTGGAGGTGGAAGGCAGAGGTTAAAAAATGAGATGGCGAGTTTTTAGTGTTGTCTAGTAAATAGGGTAGATGAGTGGTGAAGGACATACTTTTGGAGTCAGACAAAACTGGGCTTGAAGCCTAGCTTGCTTTCTTCCTTAGCTGTATGACGTTTGAACCTAATTCTGGACCTTGCTCCAACTGGAAGATAGTGGTAACCACACAACTATTTATTGGCTTGACTTTTCTTGTGTATTTGCTGCTTACCAGGCAAACCCTGCAAGGAGCGTGGTGGTTACCATTTAATAGTTGAGAAAATTGGGACTTAGGGAGGCAGGTAGTTAGTGAAACAGTCCAGGTCTGCCTGACTCCAAAGCTGGAGTCCTTTGCATGCTTCCCCAGGTTACCCTATAGTTCCCTCATCCGCTTCCAACATACGTGCATACCTCATGTTATTGTGCTTCACTTGATTGTACTTTGCAGATAGTGGTTTTTACAAATCGAAGGTTCAAGGCAACCCATCCAACAGCATTGCTTACTTTGTGTCTCTATGCCACATTTGGGTTATTCTTAACAATATTTCAAACTTTTCATCAAATATTAAGCATCAAACATTTCACTTCATTTCAAACACATGTCATCTGTTAATGGTGATCTGGGATCAGTGATCTTTGATGTTACTATTGTAATTTTGAAATGTCACAAACAATGCTTATGTAAGGCAGCAAACTTAATAAATGTTGTGTGTTTTCTGACTGTTCTACCTACTGGCTTTTTCCCTGTCTGTCTCCCTCTCCTCAGGCCTCCCTATTCCCTGAGACACAACAATATTAAAATTCATCCAGCTAATAGCCTTTATGCGTTCAAGGGAAAGGAAGAGTTGCAAGTCTCTCACTTTAAATCAAAAGTTAGAAATGATTAAGCTTAGTGATGAAGGCAATGTTGAAGACTGAGATAGGCTGAAAGCAAGGCCTCTTACACCACACCAAACAGCAAAGTTTTGGACGCAAAGGAAAAGTTCCTGAAGGAAATTAAAAGTGCTACTGTAGTGAACACACAGATGATAAGAAAGCAAGACAGCTTTATTGCTTTATAGAGAAAGTTTTAGTGGTCTGGATAGAAAATCAAACCAGCTACCACATTCCCTTAAGTGGAAGCCTAATCCAGAGCAAGGCCCTAACTCTTCAATTCTATGAAGGCTGAGAGAGGTAAGGAAGCTGCAGAAGAAAAGTTTGAAGCTAGCAGAAGTTGGTTCATGAGGTTTGAGGAAAGAGGCCATCTCCAGAACATAAATGTACAAGATGAAACAACAAATGGTGATAGAGAAGCTGCAGCAAGTTATCCAGGAGATCTAGCTAAGATCATTGATGAAGGTGAGTACACTAAACAGATTTTCACTGTAGATGGAACAGCCTTATATGGAGAAGATGCTATGTAGGACTTTCATAGCTACAGAGAAGTCAATGACTGGGTACAAAGCTTCAAAGGACAGGCTGACTCTTGTTAGGGGCTAATGCAGCTGAAGCCATTGCTCATTGACCATTCCAAAAATCCTAGGGCCCTTAAGAATTATGCTAAATCTATTCAGCCTGTGCTCTTGAAATGGCACAACGCAGCCTGGATGACAGCACATCTGTTTATAGCATGGTTTACTGAATATTTTAAGCCCACTGTTGAGACCTACTGCTTAGAAAAAATACTCCTTTCAAAATATTACTGATTGTTGATAATGCACCTGGTCACCTAATGGCTCTGATGGAGATGTACAAAGAGATTAATTTGTTATCATGCTTGCTAACACAGCATCCATTCTGCAGTGTATGGGTCAAGGAGTAATTTTGACTTTCAGGTCTTATTATTTAAGAAATATATTTCATAAGGCCATAGCTGCCCAAGATAATAATTCCTCTGATGGATCTGGACAAAGTAAATTGAAAACCTTCTGGAAAGGATTTATCATTCTAGATGCCATAAAGAACATTTGTGATTCATGGGAGGAGGTAAAAATATCAACAGTAACAATAATTTGGAAGAGGTTGATTCCAACCCTCATGGATGACTGAGGGGTTCAAGACTTCAGTGGAGCAAGTCACTGCAGATGTGGTAGAAATAGCAAGAGAGTTAGAATGAGAAGTGGTGCCTGAGGATATGACTGAATTGCTACAATCTCATGATCAATCTTGAGTGGATGAGGAGTTGCTTCTTGTGCATGAGCAAAGAAAGTAGTTTCTTGAGATGGAACCTACTCCTGGTGAAGATGCTGTAAACATTGTTGAAATGACAACAAAGGATTTAGAATATTACATAAACTTAGTTGATAAAGCAGTGGCAAGATTTGAGAGGACTGACTCCAGTTTTGAAAGCAATTCTGTGAGTAAAATGCCATCAAACAGCTTCACATGCTACAGATAAATTTTTGTAAAAGGAAGAGTCACCTGATGTGGCAAACTTCATTGTCTTATTTCATTAGATTGCCACAGTCACCCCAACCTTCATCAACCACCACCCTGATCAGTCGGCAACCATCACCATTGAGGCAAGACCCTCCACCAGCAAAAAGATTATGACTTGCTGAAGGTTCAGTAATCATTAGCATTTTTTAGCAATGAATTATTTTAAAATTAAGGAATGTTTATTGTTTTTTGAGACATACTACTATTGCACACTTAATTGACGACATGTCATGTAAACATAACTTTTATACACATTGGGAAACCAAAAAATTTGACTTGCTTTATTGTGATATTCACTGTGCTGCAGTGGTCTGGAACTGAATGCACAATATCTTTGAGGTAAGCCTCATTTGTAGAGAAGCTCTTCATATTGCAAAAAAGTTTCAGCACTTGCCTGGTCCTATATAACCAATTGTAATGCCCTGAAGAATTTGGCAAGTTTTTTATTTAGACTAAAACTGTAGAAGAACTTATTTTTGTATGTACATTGTTGCTTATCTTTTGTCTCATCTCTGGAGTAGGGAGATTTATCTTCTTAAAATATGGCCTGAGTGGAATGGAATGCTGAGACCAAGGCTGCTACCATTCTTCCTTGAATACATCAGAGACCCACCTTCCTTTTCAGGGAATTGAGAAAAAACAATGTTTTTCTTGTAAAGAGAAGGTGTTCCCCATTGAGTGCCTGCTCGGGCCCAGGCCTGTTGCCAGGAACTTGCATCTATGCAATACCACCCTGTGTGGTGGGAGTGTTAGTTAGCCTTATTTCTCAGATGAGGAAACCCAAGCAAAGTGCCTTGGGCTAGTGTTGGAACCTAACTCCGCCACCCCTAACCTGGATCTGGTTAATACCTTCATTTCACCTCATGGTCCACAAACTTGTGGGCATCTTTGCCTTCTTGAAATGGCCCCCAAGGCCATCCTGGCTTATGGCACCTGGACTTCTACAGTTCTGCCCCCTGCCTGCTTATTCTCCTCCTCCCTCTGATTCATTCTCTGCACAGTGGGCATTGCTCTCCTTTTACAAGTGTTCATCAGATCATGTCAGCCCTACACTTGACAAGACTTTCCAGTGAGTTCTCATTGTGCTTGGAGTAAAATCCAGCCACTTTGTGGCCCATAGGACAATGGTCTGGCTCTGCTTTCCTCTGATCCCATCAACGATCCCATCAACGACTGCTCCCCACTCTGACCTTCAGTCACGGTGGCCTCATTTCTCTTCCTCCAGTGGGCCCACCAGCTGCTTCCCTCAGGACATTTGCACCTGTTGTTGCCTCTGTTTGGTACATCTGGCTCCTTAAGTCTCTGCTTTAATGGCACCTCCTCAGCAGCCTCTCCTGCCCCACCTATCTAA
This sequence comes from Homo sapiens, assembly GCF_000001405.40. Taxonomy (NCBI): domain Eukaryota; kingdom Metazoa; phylum Chordata; class Mammalia; order Primates; family Hominidae; genus Homo; species Homo sapiens. Next base: position 128,159,815 of record NC_000003.12, read on the forward strand.
AGTTGTCTCTTCAACCCTCACCCCCTCATACTTTCTCATGTCCCTGTTTCATTGCCCCAGCAGCCCTTTTCACTACCTGACGTTCTTCATGTGTTTACTTGTTGAGTATCTGTCCTCTGCTAGAATGTGAGCTCCATGAGACCAGAGCAGGAACCTTGTTTGTCTCATTCACCAGTGTTCTCAGCACTTGGGCCAGAGCCTGGCATAGGATAGATATTTAGTAAGTTCTGGATGAATGAAGCCTGTGTACCAGCTCCTGGGCTAGCCAGTTTTAGTGAGCAGAGAACCTTCTTTGTGGGTTAGTGGACAGAAGGCAACTAGCTTAGGGCCTGGCCTGTAGTGAATTATGCAGGTTGGTTCTTTGTCCTCCCCTTTAGGAGCTTACATCAGAACCCGGAAGACACTGCTGTGTACAAAGTGATCTTCTGGAGTTCTTTGCACAAGGGCAAAAGCAGGAGTAACTCACTTTTTCTTTCCTAGGCAAGGGCAAGGCTCTGAGCCTTAAACATGCCATTGTGTCTCAACATCAGAGATGACTGCCAGCATTTAGGCATGGCTGGAAATCGGCGTGGTGTGTGGGAGGTGTGCTAAAGATGAAGCTAGAAGGGTTGGCAGGGCCAGACCCTAGAGAATGGCCCTTAGTGTAGATTTTTCCTAAGGGTCCTGGAGCTCCTTGGAAGGCTGTTAAAGCAGGTGTGTGATATGATTGGGCTGAGCTTTTGATAGAAAGTTGCAGGATTGCTGGGCAGGGATTCCCACTGGCAGCAGGTGTGGTTTTCTCTAGCTGCACCTGCACCTGGCATCCCTGGGAGATCGGGCTCTTGTTAGAGTTCCTTGCTACTGTGAAAGATTTAGACCCCCTGTGGAATATGTTATTCCCAGGAGAAGGAAATTATAACAGTTGTCTGAGTTCTGTGATGATATCTCTGAAGTTTAATATATCTTAAATTAAAGCTGGCTCTAATTCCACTGTGTGCGCACACACACGCGCGCACACACACACACACACACGAATCCTATCTTAACTTAGAGAAAATTGGGTTTTATCTCCCTTGATGCATGTGGCCACAGATAAAACTAAGTGGTGCTGTGGGGTTAACAGTGATAATTGTACTTACCATTATTTAGTGCTTGTCTGTATGCTGTTTTTTTGATTTGTTTGTTTAATCTTCACACTATTCCTAGGAGGTAAGAGTTGCTATTCCCATTTTACAGATAAAAAACCATGGCTCAGAGGTCAGGGAACCCAGTTAGTAAGTGTCAGAACTAGGTTTGAACCCATATTGATCTGACTGCACAGCCCATACGCTGGCATTCTCAGTGTGAATGAAAAAGTGTACCCGTCCATTCCAGCCCCCTGTAGTGGTTCAGAGCAGTATTTTTCTTGAATCCATTTTAGAGTATAAATCTTTCAGGGTTACAACTTCAAAAAGATTCAGTAATGTATGTTTTAAAGACTTGGGTGGGTGTGAGGGACTTAGACTCATCCTCAATCTAACTCTGGCAGGAAAGAGGAGGGCTGAAAAATGCTGGTATCTTGGCTTGGCAATTTATAGTCCTCTGGTGGCTGTGAGGATTAACAGTGTATTGTCTCCCAGTCTTTTGTTTCGGTTGTTAATGAACAGCACTGCTACTTGTCGCCTGGACCTCTTGCCTTCTGTACACACTATTTTAGCGGTGCCTCCTGCGTGGGTCTGACCCTCTCTGAGCCCTCCCTGCCAAGAGCTGAGGAGGGCTGCAAAAGACTTCTAAGTCTGACTCAGGTTACTCTCCTTGAAGGAGAGAAACATCCAAGAGCCTACAAGATTTTTGTCTCTGCAGCCTGGAGAGAACATTCTTTGTAAAACTTAAGCGACTTTGCCTTTTCCTTTTTTCCAGCCTTCTGTGTTCTTGGCGCCCATGTGGAGAAGGCTCTTCCCCTTTCATCTGTTTTATTGAGGTGTGTGCCCTTCATTCTTTCTGCAGATGCCCTCTCTTGACTCGTAAATGAAACAAGGGGTTCTTGTGTGTGAATGAATTTCAACCAGATTTTTTTGTGATACCCGTTAGGCATCTGCACATATCCCCGGAAAGCAGCCTGCTCCAGGCAGAAATAACATACTGGGGGCTTGACCAGGTAGGCCTTGGTGTCCTTGAGGAATTTGGGTGTTACTCTAATGCAAAAGCAAACAAACCAAACACCACTTTTGGTTTTCTTTACCCCTAGTCTTTTCAGGAGAATCTGTGTAGGAATATATTATGTGAAATTGTGGTAATTATGTATGTTTGTCCTAAAATACTGAGGCATATTTGAAGGAGTTCTAAGTGGAAATGCTTTCTTCAGCTTTACTTCTTTAGTTCCTAGTATCCATCAGGCCTTAGTTCCCTGTTTCTTTGTGCCCATCCAGTGAGAGCTGTTTCTTTCTCTTCTTCACTGAAAGGTACACACCATAACTAGAAGATTCTACTCTCCAGTACTGCTTCTTCGACGTCCTCTACCACCAACTAAAGCTGAGGCTGACACTGGAGTTGCTTGCCTTCACTTGCTTCAAAGACTCTTATGTTCAATAGAGTCTGCCTCACTCAGCACTAAAGTGTACCACTATTCAAGTACAAGTTTTCTTGTTTTGCCTGGTACCTTATTGCTCTCTGACCCCACCTGATCTCCCCATACACTGGAGTGCCTTTAACTCTCTCCAGGAGACTCAAGTTGAGCTTTGTCTGCGGCACCTTCTCTTGGCGCTGGACAGCGGGTGATTTTGCTTTAGCTTGGGTGACAGTGTGGGAGTAGCGCAACATCAGAGACACAGCCTTGAGTTTAAATTAATGCAGAATATTTGAGCAGGAACCAACAGGAAAGAAAAATGGAAGCAGGTAGTCATATTTCATTCTGTTGGGGTACATTTTTCTTCTCATGGGGCTTGCCCTTGAGAACAAAACATATCAAAAGTTAAATCAAAGAATATTTTTGTAGTCGTGCTAGGAATAGAAAATAATGCAAAGACTCTGGCTTCTTGAGGCAAATATTTTGCTGGAAGGTTATAATCAAAGTCAGAAGGAAATCATAGCCACAGCTTTCGGTAAAGCTGTAATCATTTAAAATTAATTGCTTTTAAACTTTTCACTGAGCATCCCCTTTGTTTTCTATCAGCATGTCTCTTGGGTTTTTCTTCGGAATCATTCCATCCAGGTTGGAATAGGATTCGGGCAGGCATCCCAGGAAACAACCCATAAATTAAGCCCTAAGACATATTCCCCTTTCTGTCATTCTTTTGTTTGATGGAGCCTCAACCAGGCTGGGGATGAGATACTCTTACCTTAAGAGCTCAATTCTGTGTCCCCTTTACCAGTAAAGGCTTTGATGTGCGGAAAATGATGGTATCTATAGCTCTGGTACTCTGGGTATCTTGGAGGCCCAGTCTTGGTGGGGGTAGAGCCTGGCACTTCTGAGGCAGCCTCATGGTAGGATAGGGAGCTGGAGTGAGTCCTCGTTCTTCTAGGCTCTGGACTTGGTTGCACAGCATGCATCCCTCTTGGTGTGAACACTTCACTCCAATGGCTGGTTTCCATGTCTCCTCTTTCCATTAGCCTGGAAGCTTGATGGGGTAGAGACAATATCTGAATCATCTCTGTAGGTCTAGGGCCAACCCAGAGCCTGGCATACAGCAGATAATAATTTTAAAAACATTTTTAATTTTATATAGTGTTTATATAATTTTTTAAAATAATTTTATGGTATGTAAATTACATACCATAAAATTCACCCATTTCACTGAGTGTACACTAAGTGAACACTCAGTGGTTTTCACTGTACTCATACAGTTGTGTAGCTGTCATCACACAATCTCAGTTTAGACCATTTTCGTCACCCCATAAAGAAACCACATCCCTACCAGGAGTCATTCCCCATTCGCCCCTCTCCCAGGCCTAGGCAACCACGAATCTACTTAATGTCTCTGGATTGACCGGTCCTGGACATTTCATATAAGTAGATCACACAATATGTGGCCTTTTTGTCTGGCGACTTTTGCTTGGCCTCCTATGTTGCCCAGGCTGGTCTTGAACTCCTGAAGTTAAGCAGTCCTCTTGCCTCAGCCTCCCAAAGCGAGCATATGCTTTGGGAACCAGTATTGCATTTTTTTGTGAAAAAAAAAAAAAACAAAACTATTTCTATTGATTTCTACTTGTGGTAAAGTATAAATAATGTACAATTTGCCATCTTAGCCATCTTAAGTGTACAGTGTGTGGCATGTGCTCCTCAGGCTGCCTCCTCTTTCTGTGATGTGCCTGGCCCATGGAGACATTTGGGCTGGTAGGCCTTGTTTTAAGGGCTTTCGGCAGCTTGTGTGGTGGGAAAGGACCACATGGAGCTGCATTTGGTGTTTTTCTCCACTCACTCAGAGATTCTACACATACACGTTGCATGGCTTTGTTTTGGACGTGAGGGCAGATACACAGTCGTGCCTGTGTTCAAGGGGCTCACAGTCCCGAGTAGGGAGGAGGAAGCCAGGCAGTGCCAGCAGCCAGTTTAAGATGTGGAGTGGTAAGGGCTTTGATCGAGATGGGCATAGAAATGTGAGTACCTGCCTGGGGTGGCAGATAGGGAATCCTGCTGGAGGAGACACACGGCTGGGCCTGGAAGGATGACCTGTGGATTTCCAGGCTGAGAGATCCAGGAAACAGCCTTAGCAGAGTCCAGAGGCATGGAAGCAGCCCTGGCTAAAGAAGGGGAGTGGTCAGGGTGGCTGGCACTTGCACACAGGGGGGTGTGAAAGGAGGTGCGGCCAGGTTGGCTGGGTCACAGGCCAGTCCAACTGGCTTGTGGGAATTGTGAAGGATGGTTGAGATATTACATTTTAGAAGATGGGAGGCATTCCAGCTAGAGGACTCAGAGTAAACAAGGACCTAGAGACAAAGGGAGGGCTGGAGTGTGACTGGGGTATCAGGCCAAGCTTCCAGAGGGTAGCCCGGACCAGATCTCAGGAGCCGGGAGAGTCTCTTCTGGGAGGAAGGCTGGTAGGTTTTAAGCTTCTGGTGGCTTTTAGTGAGCTCCCTGAGTCTGAGGAGAGGACTGTGACAAGTGGTCCTAGGGCCTGTCATTCCTCTCATCATTCCAGCTTCAGCTTTCTGACCCAGCTGGATGAAGGAGAAGAGGAAGGACACCTCAGGCAGGCAAGGCGGATGCCATCAGCAGGGAAAGTGGGGCTCTGGGGTTGCAGACATGGCAGTGCTGAGCAGTGGCCAAGGGATAGTTCTGCCTCTTGGAGGGAGATGAAAGAATGGACTTTTGGAGAACGCTTGCTGTCTGCTGGACACTGTTCTAGACCCGTGGCTCTTGCTGCATCCTCCCAGCCAGTCTCCTAGGGAGGCGTTTCCATCTACATTGCTCAGCTACTAGAAATGAGGCTCTGAGCAGTAGGCAGTTTGCTGCAGGGCGCACAAGTAGCCAGTGCCAGGCTCTGTTTCAGAGGCCCTGGCTTTGCCCAGAAGCTGCTCTCAGACCTTAGCACATGCCTGCTTCCATAGAAAATTGTGGCTCCTGAGGAACACTTTATATATAAATCAAATTGTCAAAAATAGAGATTTCTGCTTCTATTCTCCCCTCGATTATTTGAGTTTTTGTCTTTTGTTAATTGGGTCTTTTATTTTCTTGTGCTGTGTGATTAGGCTCCTGCTGCTTTGAAGTGGCCTTTGTTGGGTGGGTAGGGAGGACTTAGTTAATGTGGGTGATCCTCTCTTGGCAGGAGAAAAAACAACTTTTGCTGTTGAGAGAGAAGTTGACTTTCCCTCTTTCCATATCTCTTGTGTTGTGATGATTCCTCTCTTGTCTTGAGGCCTTCAGGAAGACTAAAATAATTTCCTTTGTCTCTAACCTACTTCCTGAGGATATTTATTTGGTGCCATGCACAGGTGCTGCTTAAAGATAAACCTGACTTTTTTCTTTCAAAATTAGTGCTTGAAATTTGCTAGCATTGCCCTGTCTGGCAGCAGGAACTTGCCTTGCTTGGCCTGGTGGCTACATCCCTTACCATAGATTTATTTGGGTTGCTTAGAGCTCCAGAGGGTCAGTGGCTTGTCCTTGGTCATTTGACATTGGCACTAGAGCTCAGTCTTCCCAGATACATGACGGTGTGGCACTTGAGGAAAAAATGGCCCTGTTTGTGGTCATTTCCAGGTGAGTTTCAGGATCTTTCGCCATGAACAGTAAAGGCCCTCGGGTTTGTGTTCTCAGCATTCTCTATTTTCTAAAAAGATGATCCAGGGGACATTCAGAGATGATCTTCAGAACTTACGCTCTAGAGAGGAAAGACTTTACATAAGAAGGACTCCATTTCTTCGGCACTTGCTGTCTGACCTCACAGACAAGTAGACCACAGGAAGACTGGAAGGGAGCCCTGAGGTGCTTACAGCACAGCCGTGTTTCCCATCAGCACCCAGCCCTTGCAGAGAGGGCTGACAGACACTTTGGCTGGAAAAAACAGTGTTTTAAAAAATCTCTGCAGTGGCTTGATCAGTACTTTCCAGCAGAACTTTCTGTGATGATAGGAATGTTCTACAGTGGCACGGTCCAACATGGCAGCCACGAGCCTCATGGCTGTTGGAGCACTTGCACTGTGGCTAGTGTAACTAAAGACTGAAATTTTAGTTTTATTTAATTTTAATTAATTTAAATTTATATAGGCACAGGTGGCTAGTGGCTGCTGTATTTGACAGCGCAGGGCTGGATGGACTGAGGAATGACTAGGTTCTGTGTCCCTATTGTAGAGTTGGGTTTGAGCTGTCCCCTACATGTGATTTGGTTATAAGAACTGTCATCTTCCTGAGATGTCCTGGCCTGGGGTGACTACCACAGGCCCTTAGATTCCACCCTCTCAGCTTCTTCACCTTCCTAGTGAAGGACACCTCCACTCTCCCAAGGTGCGGCCCTTGAACTGCTCCTCAGTGTGTCCTCCTCCTTCACCTGCCTCTGGATCCATCACCACGCCTTCTCCCTCCTGCTTGCTCTCTGTCTTTGCATTTCCCATCACCACAGCTGCGACCTGAAGACAGGCTTCTGCTAGTTCCTGGCCGGATGAGTACAGCATTCCCTCACATAGTCTCCTTGATTCCAACCCCCCGCAGAAGGTATAGGGATAGAAGAGAGTTTAAAAACTACTTCCCTGTGTAGAAGTCTTTGTTTGCTCTCTGCTGGCATAAAGGCTTAACTAAGTCTTAGCTGGCTGACGAGGCCCCTCCTGAGGGGTTGAGATCTCAGGACTCCAGGCCGAATGAACCACATGCAGGTCTGTGGACAGACAGACTGTGCTCTCTCATGCTGCATATTCTGGCTACGTGCACTTTTCTGGGAAGGGTCATTGTCCACCCTCCTCAGGCTAGATTAGGTCACCCTCATTTGAGGGCCTGTAACATCCTACACATTCCCCTATGATCTCATTTTCTCCCCATCTTATGCCTTTTCTGTTTACTGGATTATGTTTTCCACTGGACTTGATCTCTTTGAGGGTAGGGGCCTGTTAGCATTCAACTGTATGTCCGAGGGCCCAGGACAGGCCTTGGTACAGAGTAAATATTTGGTGCATGCATATCGGAATGAATGAATGAATGAAGAGGTCATTTCCCACTGCCTGCACCAATTACCCATGCTCTTATGGTGCTTTAAACAACTGGCCAAATAGAGTTCAACAGTGGAGGAAGCTTGCCTTGAGGTTAGACAAGTTAATCTTTCAATGGAAATTCAATCCTCATATTTCATTTTCAGGCCACTTTGCGTAGCAAAGTAGTTTAACTCATAGCAGATTTCTGCCATGCTGATGGTTAATTTCGTGGCCCACAGAGGGTCAGCACACTAATGCCGGGAACACGGCGACCTCAGTGCAGCTCACCGCACACAGTGAGGGCCCAGCGGCCCTGTTGTTTTAGAGAAGCAGTTCTCAAACATCCTTCTGATTTTGAGTTAACAGGGGTGACCCTTTCAAGAACATTTTTAAAAGCTATAACATAGATCCCTCCCAGATCGTATATTTTCCTTTCTCCATGCAGTTCAAAGGGGCTGAGTTGTCTCATAGGTTTTTGCCGGCAATCTTCAGCTTGACCCTGGTTGTTTAAATCTGCCGGAGGAAATTTGAACAAAGTTGTACTTTGGTAATTCTTCTGCCTCTGTGAACCTTTAACCTTGGGGTTTCTTTTCGAGCCAGGGCTGCATTGTCACCAGTCGTCCCTGCTGGGGCTTTCAAAGAGCATTGTCTAGGGCGTCTGTTTTCACTTTGCTACTGGAGTTCTTTTGAGGAAGGGTATTAATTCAGACCTGACTCTGAGACAGGACGAGCACTTTTAAACTTGCCCCAGAGCTTGGGGATGGGGAAATGAGCGTAATGCAAGCCTGTGGCTGATGCCAGTAATTGTTCTGCAAATAGTCTGTGAGGGTGAAGGGAGAAGAGGCCCTCCAGAGGCAGAGGAATGTGCCAGCTGTCCAGTGGGAGGCCACAGCTTTGCCCAGGGTTTGTTGACTACATGACAAAAAGAGGTCACTGTCTCTGATCACTAGTTCTGGGTCCAGAGTTCCTCCTGAATGTAAAATTCCTGGAGTGCCAGGTTGCTAAGAACCTGGGAGGCCAGAGGTGAACCTGGGGCTCCATATACCATTACCAAGTGCTTGCATGGTAAAAAAAACTTTCTGGGGAGAGAGAGGAAGGCTCCCTGAGGCAAGAGGGTAGAGATTTGCTCTGCTGCTGTCCTGGTGCTGGCCTGAGCCTTTCTGAGTGAGTATCCCTCTGTAGACCAGGTCACTCACCTCCATCAGCTAGCCAGTTTCACCCTTTAGTTCTTCTTGTGTCTTTTCACAGGAAGCCCAAGACACCCATAAATGTGAAATGTCACAGTCATAGGCCCCCTGGGGCTTCGAGGCTGTTGTCATGGGTGTGCAGTGTTTGAAACTGGACCCTAAGAGGGGAGGCCCTCTGGTACCTCCCCAGGCATCTCCTTGCTGGTTCTGTCACTTACTCTTTGCGACAGGTTGAGAGTTGTTTGAACATCTGGCTTGTTCCGTGGCTTTCTTTGATTTATTTTCCCAGGATTCTTAGTGTCCTGAAGATTTGGTTAGGCGACCTTATTCCTTAAGCTCAGATGGTATAGAAGGAAAGGTGGATCATGACATTAATTCATTCAACAAACTCCGAGCAACTACTGCTTGCCAGGGGTTGAGTTTCTAGTGGTCAACAAAGCAGAAGTGGCTTCTGCTTTCATGTAGCTTCCTGTCTAGTTGGGGAGGCAGATGGTACAGAAGTAAATAAAACATGCGGAATTATAAATTATGTAAGTGCTAAGCAGGACAAGACAGGATGCCCAGATAGGGACTAATGGATGTGGGGCATCTACTTTAGTTTGGAGGCCAGGGAAGGCCTTTCTGAAGCAATAAAGCTGAAGCTAAACTGTGGCACAAAAGCCCGTCCCTGGAATGTTGGGAGGTGTTCCAGACCAAAGGTGTAGCACACATGAGGGTCCTGAGGCTGGACATCTCCTGGGGCTAGCTACGAGTGAGAGGGTATCAGCTGGTTTTCACACAGCAGACCTGGTGTTGCAGGTATATTTGGACAGATGCATATATCTGGACTCTCTGGAAGTCCCAGTTTTGCTGAAAGATAAGCGTGGCACATCCTATCATTCTGAAATAGGACACGGTGAGACAGAAGAAGGCAGGCCAGCCTTCTGGATATGCCTGGTCTCACTATGGCTATCCTATTGGCCTTTATCCATCCTTAGTCTTATTTCTGGTACTGTAACCCCTTATTTCCATGGTAGAGGGATGGGCTGATGTGGAATCAGCGTTGGCAGGCAATCCTGGCAGAAAGTGAATTAGACATTTTTCACAACTCTGTGATTGTGTTTGGTCATTAAACATTGGCCCACTGGCTGCTTATGACTTGAATGCCACATGGAGGTTAAGGACACATTCCTGAACCACTAACTCAAGAATTAGACATCAGAGATACTAAGTATCTAACATCATAGAATTGTAAATAAAATTCCCCTGACACCTAGACCTCGTCTCACTCCTGGTCAGTGCTCCTTTCCCTGCATAGCCTCACAGAGCACAGGCCCTTCATGCTTCCCTCCATCCCCTTTCCTGCGGGGCTGCCTCTTGGGCTGAAGGCAATGCATGGCGGTGGGGCAGGCGGCATATTTTGCCTTTTCTTTTTCCTCCAGAAACAAGTTTGGCATGGGACTTGGTCAGTCTTGATCTGTGCCTGGAAGTGTGAAGGCGTGGGTGCAGATGTTGGGATAATTTTTGTACCTCAGAACCAGAACTGGACACTCACTGTAGGGAAGACCAGCTCCTCACCCCCCGCCCCGCCTCCCCCGCCTGGCCCGAGGTTCCTGTTGAGCAGGCATGGCCTAGCCTCAGACTTGCATGCATATTTTTCTGCTGTTGATTTTCTCAAATTCTTTCACAAGGGAACAGTAGTTTACATCCTTTAAAGCTTTCTTGAGGCTGGGCACGGTGGCTCACGCCTGTAATCCCAGCACTTTGGGAGGCGGAGGTGGGTGGATCACCTGAAGCAGGAGTTCGAGACCAGCCTAGCCAACATGACGAAACCCCGTCTCTACTAAAACTACAAAAATTAGCCATGCGTGTGTAATCCCAGCTACTTGAGAGGCTGAGGCATGAGACTGCACTCCAGCCTGGGTGGCAGAGTGAGACCACGTCTAAAAAAAAAAAAAGCTTTCTTGGGATACCAGTTTGGTCTTCTGGTGACAGAACCTTGCCCATAGGTTAGAGGAAATAATACTTTCAGCAACACCCCCAGCTTGGGGGATCTCAGAAAGAAGGGCATGTTGCCAACTTTTGAGGATTTGTCTGAGAAACAGCAACCTGGCATCCCCCTAACTCCCTGCTTTTTTTCCCTCTAGAATCAAATAGAATCTCTTTTCCTGGCAAAGATTTCCTAGATAAAAAGAGGTACTACTTAGTCATTTTTGTAGGTTCGTTAATAGTTTCTAAAAGTTTTTAAAAGTACATAATAAGAAAACTTGTTATGGCAACCAATAAAGTTTCTTTTCGAGGAATGAATATTTTCTAGGAAAGATAAGAGTCAGTTATGTTTGGTCTGATTTCTTCAGCTGAATCTTTCCCTCTTCCTCTTATCTTGAAATCTATCTCATAAGGCAATCTGGGGACACTTTAGCAAGCACTCTGGTAACAGATGTGTGTCCTCCTCTTCCTGACACATCTCCCAGCCCTGGAGACCCAGCTGTACAATCGCAAACTGTCCACAGGGCGGTGGGGTGGAAATCATCTCCATGCCGACTCCGAACTATTTGGTGCACAAGAGGGCAGTATTTGCTTACAGTCTTGGATCGGGATGATCAATGTGTAGTTTCACAGGTCAGCATAGTTAAAATGACCTCTGACTTTTTCAAGACAAAATAAACTGTAGGCCACAGCCATGATGGCTTCCCATAGATGCCTTTAAGTGTCTGATCCCTTCAGAAAAATTGCTGCTTGCTATCTTTTTTCCTTAAAAAGAAAAATATTGTTTCTTTCAAGGTTTATTTTTAATTTTTTTTTAATCAATGAAAATATGGTTTGCAGGCTTGTACCTACAATGGCAGAGGTTAAAAAGTGTTGCAAAAGCAAAACAACTGCTTTCTAATTAAAAACCAGATGGGAAGATTTTTGTTTGAAGCAAGGGGTCAAATGTATTTTCTCCCCCTTTCATATCAGTGTAAAGATTATCTGACTTAACTTTTAAAGCATTTGAAGATGTGGGCTTCAGTCATCAACCCTTCTATACTCAGTTTTGTTTTTCTGCAAGTTCACAGTATTAACCAAAGCAAGGACTTTCCAGGAGAAAAAAAGGAGATCTCCCTGCCTTCCAGAGGCACAATGTTCTATCTGAACCATAGGCCATGTCTGCTTTTGTATAATGATTTGCCTTTTTAAGTTCTTCCATGGTGTTTTTCTATAGAGACTTTTAAGCCAGAAAGACATAGCTGGCCCTCCAAATCTGTGGATTCAACCAATTGAAGATTGAAAATATTAAAAAAAAAAAAAATGAAAACAACAAAAATAACAATTCAACAACAAAAAAATGATATGTTTAAAAACACAATAAAGTATAGCAACTATTTACATAGCATTTTTATTTTATTAGTTACAAGTGATCTAGAGATGATTTAAATATATGGGAGGATATGCATAAGTTATATGAAAATACTCTGTCATTTTATATCAGGGCCTTAAGCATCCTCAGATTTTGGTCCTTCAGGGGTCCTCAAATCAATCCCCCACAGATAACAAAGGACAGTGGCATTGGTTTACAACTCCTGTCCCACCAGATTCCAGCCTATGCAAGAATTGGGATCTCATATCTTTCTGCTCTCTCTTCCTCAAACCTGGAACTTCTGATTTGAGGTGCCTCCATAACTTTAGCACCCAAGAGAGTTTAACTGAAAACAGCAGTGGTAGCAAGGCCCAGCACATTAAGGACATAGTGATGGTCAGGCCGAAGGAACCCATGCATAGGGGTGGCCTGGGTCTAGCGGAAATGCCACCTGGCCTCTCTGAGCCTGTCTGTGCACCTCAAATGCAGATGATTATCTCACAGGGTGGTTGCATCAAAGATGTCCATAAATAAAGCTTCAGGCACATAGTAGGGAGCAGTTATTGTTTTGTTTGTTTATTTTTTGTAGAGCCAAGCGCTTGCTGTGTTGCGCAGGTTGGTCTCAAACTCCTGGGCTCAAGTGATCCTCCTGCTTTGACTGCCCAAAGTGCTGGGATTACAGGTGTGAACCACTGTGACTGGCTGGGAGCAGTTACTGTGCCAATGATCTCTCTGACCCCTGACGAATTATAAGCATATGGAGGTGGTGGGGCACTGTTGGACATGAGGATGGAGACACAGACACTGATTCTTGATTGCAGACAAACCAGTTCTTTCTGGATTATTCATTTATTTGATTCATTGAGCATGTCCATTGCTTGGTCCCTTGGAGCATCTGCAGCAAAGTGAAATGCAATCTAGATGGGAGGTGCCATGCTGCCGCCTCGATCCTCTGATAGCAATCGAGGAGAAAAGCTGGGTTCCGAGGCTTAGCCCTGTATGAAATCAGATGTCTTCTTTTACTCTTTTGTAATCGCAACATAAATCTTCCAAAGGGAGTATGTCTATAAGATAGATGCCACATAAGCTGTGGAATGTATTAGTATGTGTGACATCCCTGTGGTCTTTTAATTGATCAGTGGCATTTAATGCAAAATTTGAATCTGACCACACAAAGTAGGGAGAACCCTGGGTGGCCTTCATGTTTGCTTCCCCGTGAAGCTCCTGTCCTGGCTTTTATTAGAAGGGTCTGGGTAGGAAAAGAAGGGTTTTGAGCTGAAGGCTTTCAAAAGAGGCCCATGCCATGTTTTTCCGGGAACATAGTTTCTAAAAAAATGCTGGAACCATCAGTTTCCAAAGGAGCCTGGTTTGTGAGGGGAATGAAAAGTTGTTCCTGCGTGTGGATTCTGGGTTGTTTTCCATCTTCACTCCCTAAGGCAGGGCTGGCAAGCGGGGAATGGGACAGATGTTTTGTGGTAGTAATTTCCAGTCAGATTCTTGAATGCCTTGTATACTCTGGGTCACCGTCAGCTCATAATGGAGCAAAATTGAGTGAGAATTCCTGCAATGAACGACGTGAATGGCGCACCGGAGAGATATGATGGTGGAGATAGAGTGCATTCTGCAAGAAAATATTTCCAGTGCTATCTGTAAAATTCAGATTGAATAACCATTCTGAAGTGCTCCCCTTTTAAAAGAGTTTCCTTCCACAAGCATTGCAGGCTGAGTAAATACCAATAATTTTTATTTCCCTTCTCCTTATCGGTTCCCCTACTGAAATGTTCCTGCACAGCCTATCTGGTCTTTTCAAGTGAACATCAAATGATTAGTGTCAGCTTCCAGTTTGAATTATGATCATATTTCAAAACACAAACTTCTTCACTTTTGCGTTTGGAGGTAATTATCAATATTTACCAATACTGGGGAAGAGTTGAAAATGGAGGAAATACTGCTGAGAGAATGGTGCCCCAAGTGAAGATAGCAGGGAGGGGTTGTGTGTGGCCTTGTGTGTACAGTGGCAGAGTGCTTCAGGGGCTTGGCCTGCCACGTGGATGGCCTGCTCTCTTCCAGCCCTATCCGCATTCTCGCACAGATAAGTGAGAGGAATGGTGGGGACCCAACTGCAAGGCGATCTCTTAGGGTTGGGCACTATGACAAGGCTAGAAAAGCTATTTCTGCCACCTGGAGGAGGAAACATTGCTCTGGCCGCTGCTCTCAGAGGCCCTCCCCTCTGTTTCCACAGATCCTGCTCTCTGACTGCCATGGCCTGGTACGAATGCCCTTTGGTGAAAAAGGCCAGTGAAACCCAGGGCTGGTTTAAGGCCTGCGCTGCAGCCTGGAAAGCAGACTAACACAAATAGACTGTGCTGCCATCACACAGAAAATACAGTTTACAATACCTACATCAGAGTTGAATCCCAGTGTACTAGGTGGCGTTCTCTTGCATTGTAGTAGGCATTTAATTGAACTTTGAGTAATTTCAGTTTTTGCAGTTTTCTTTTTGTATTTTGGAGCCAGTAAGTTTTTTTATGTTTGCAAACACTCTGTAAGCTTTGGTGCTTTGCTTATTGTGCCTAATTAATAGTTGCCTCTGGAAAACGCAGAGGAGGTTTCAGACTGCCTCAAAGAACTTCCCAGAGAGTGGAGAAGCTGCAGCACAACAGGCCTGGGCTCTGGAGTCAGGAAGATTGAAATTGGAATCTTGGCCCTTCTGCTGGCTTTTTGTATTACTGTGGACGTGTAGCTTTTCTGAGCCTTCATTTCTTCACCTGTTTAAAACAGGAGAGAAAGGGAATAATGCCTACCTTCGGGTTTGCTGTTAGAGTTAGCAGTAACTGTGATACAGTTAGCATCATTCTGGGTGCAAGGTAGACACTTGGTAAATGGAAGCAGGCCTTACTGTAGGGTTAGTGCACTGCAGGCTTGGCACCAGAATGTAGCCACTTCTGAAGTCCTTGGGGCAGTCAAAAGTCCTCTTCCCTCAGCATTGCAGACAGCAGGAAAGAGCATTGCAATTATGCAAGAGCTATGTTTCAAAGAAGGAAATGAAATTCTTGAATTTTTTTAAGGCAAAGAAGAGGGAAAAATAGATTTATTGTTTTAGTTGGCTATTCAATAGGATGCAGGATAAAGCTGGCCTCTCTCCTGTCTAATGTCATCATCGGCATTCTCTCTTTTTCTCTCCTTCTCTTCCTCCCTCTCCTCCCCCTCTGCTCTACTCCTCCTCCCTTCTCTTCCCACGCCTCCCCCCGCTCCTCCTTCCCCTCCTCTTCTTACTAGTACTGCTGCAAACCCCCCCTTTTCTCCAAGTCAACCCCAGGTCCTGAGCCTGGGATTAAATCTCATGCTCTGGAGATACTCTAATGCTAGGAATTATTTCCTCTTTTGTGGTCTTTGGTCTTTCCTTCAGGTTTCCTGTTGCTTTCTAAGGGAGGTGCCAGGTGCTGGCCCTGTGGCTAGTTTTGGCTAGTGAGGAATGCTGTAAAGCAGCTGTGACACCAGCGTGCAGCAGTCCTACTGCTGTGCAGCCTGGGCAGTGGGTGGTGACAGGGTGGCATTGGAGTGAACAAGGTGTGGGGAAGACGAGCGTAGGTGGAAAAAATGTAGACCGACCTTCTCGGTAAAACTGGCCTGGGATCCCAGGCAACATGAAGGCTGGCAGATGCTGAGGGAGTTCTCTAGGGGAGGCTGATAAAATTCGACATCACCTTACCATTTAATGAGTCCCAGATACATGGGCTATGCCAGCCCAACAGAGTGCAGGCTTTGGAAAGCCCAAATGAAAACGACATGGTCCCTGCTGTTGGGGGAACTCATAGTGCTGGGAGAAGCCTGCTGGGCCTCTTTTTCAGAAGGAGGGAGAACATGGGTTTAGTAGTGAGCCCTCTAATTAGGCCTGCAGGTAGGCCTCAGCGTGGGGCCTGGATTTGCACCCTGTCCTTCGGTTAGAGGTTTGTGACACCCATAGCTGTGCTCAGTTAAGTGGAGCAGTGGAAAGAGCTGAGGCTCAGCATGCTGGTCCACGTTTGAATCCTGATGGACCAGCTTGTGAGAATGCACAGCTCTGAGCCTCAGTTTTCTCATCTTCAAAATGGGGAGAATAAACTTACAAGTGTTTTCGTGTGTGTGAGAATCCAATGAGATAAGCTAAATGTAGTATTTATCTCAGTGTATGGAACCTATACTCTGTAAGTGGTGTTAGCTATTGTGATCATAATTTAATATGACTTAAGTTTTAATCTTTATACGACTTCATATAAAAATAAACCATTTGTCAGAAATCTTATTTTCCTTTTTTTTTTGGTTGGGAAGGCAGGCTAGATGGATGGTCTCTGATACCACGTGTAACATATGATTTTTGTCTCTGTTTTTAAATTGGTGATAATCCGATTGGAGAGAAACTAAATTAATATACTTGAAGTAATCAGAGTATGGGAGCTTAACTGCGTTGATCGGCTGTAAAATTGTGAGTGCAGTTAGAGTTAAGACAAAGAAGGCCACGAAGGGAAAAGACCCAACCAGAAGACACACACCAGAAGAGAAATGTGGGTGGAGTGTTAGCAAGCCACACGCCTTGTCTGCCGGGAGAGACCAGTCTGCTGGAAGCAGTGGCTTGTTTTATGTTTGCACACTGATAGGTACCAATCACTGCTACATGCAAATGTACCCAAAAATATGTGATGACAGGAACTTCTCTTGAAATAATTTATGCATTAATACTAAAGGAAAAAAATGCATAGAACAGCATAAATTGCAAACATGGTATAATTGAAAAAGCTTGAGGTTTAGAGTCTGAGAAACTGAATTTGAATCCTGGCTTCAACATTTGTTAGCTATATGGTCTTGGGTAGATTACCTTCTCTGGGCCTCAACTTCCTTGTTTGCAAGATCAGAAAGAACTATTTTAAGGATTAGAATATATATCTAGTACATGATAAGCTTTTAATAAACATCATTACTATTATGACCACTATTTTACTACTGATAATAAAGACTCCCGGCCTCACATGACACTCCATTGCCAGCTATAAATGTGGTCTTCCCTGAGATGCTGTAATTTTTTTCTGTAGTTTAAATGAACATACTGGATTATTATTATTATTATTATTATTATTATTTTTGAGACAGAGTCTCGCTCTGTCACCCAGGCTGGAGTGCGGTAGCATGATCTCAGCTCACTGCAACCTCCGCTTCCCAGGTTCAAGTGATTCTCCTGCCTCAGCCTCCTAGGTAGCTGGGATTACAGGCCGTACTGGATTATTGATTCAATGTTGTGGGGAGGCTTATAAGTGAATTTATATGATTAAGTTTTGGAAAGCTTTTTTTTGTTGATTCCTTATCTTAAAACCAAGATAAAAAAAGCCTTAATAGCTTAATATTTTTAGGGTCTGAGCCAGGCCTATGTGTTGGCCTGGGGAAGAAAGGGAAACATTCAGAAAGCTTTAGATTTTTTAAAGACTTGTTGGGGGTGTCCTCCTTTCAATTGGAGAAATAGTGACACCACCCCCACCCCCACCCGCATCTCTGGATTTTACTGTTTATTTTTTGGCACACGTTTCCAAATACATCAAATATAAATGATGCATTTTGAAGTTTTTAAACTATCAATAAAGCATTAGACCTTCACAGGGGTTTTAAAAAGGTCTTGCTGACTTTTCGTTTCCCCAGATTTGTAGGTCTCTGAAATTTCTGGAAGCTTTCTCTGCATCTCTAGCTGAGCCAAAACGCACCTCTGTTTAGAGATGGTAAAGAACTCCATTTGAGGAGTTCATTAAACTCCAAAGAATCTCCCCCCGTTCATTCTTTTTGTGTTTTGTTGCGGCATAGATTGCTTAAACCAAGTGAGAAATAGCTGTGAGTTTTTTTGAAACTTGGAGATACTCATTTTTGTCAAATTTGTCTTGAAGGAGCAGGCTCAAGTTTGCTTTTATAAATAGGAAAATTGATTTGCAAAGAGATGAAGGCAGAGTATCAGACAGGAGATGACGTGTGGCACATTTAGAATTTGGAGAAACCATAGCCATAAAGAATGAGTAGACACACATTCTTTATATAAATGGGTAGGCCATCTGGTTCTCAAAAAAATGCTTGTTGACAAACATGATAGACCTCAAGGTGAATTTCAGACTTTTGGATTAGTTTATGTGCATGTTGGTACATGTGCAGAAGCTCATGGCAAAATAATGTACCATAATAAATGCAAGTTCAGCAAATAAAACATAGTTCAGAGTCGAGTTATGTGGTAAAAATGCATGAACTAAGTAATTTTCAGTGAAGGTTTTATTATTTTATAAATGAGGTCTTTTTAATTGCCTTAAAAGACTCTCTTTTAGGAAAATTTGAAATATGAAAGTCATCTTATTTTCATGTAAAATGAAACATTTAAATACCTTTTTTCTCATGAAAATTTCTAGCATATAAAGTGAAACTGGAAGTAGTTTTGTTAAGTAACTTGTATTTTGGGGGCTGAGGAAAAGCACTAGAAAATTCAGCTCCTAAAGATCATTCTTCATGAGATGTCAATAGCCTCCAGACAAATTATCATGTGAATATTTTCTAAACCATAAACAAATTTTGCTACCATTGTGTTTAGACTCAAAGTTAGTTTAAAAGAGAAATTTCTAAATGAAACTTCCTAACGGTCATTCTTTCGGGGGCAGGCAGATTGGTAGAAGTAATATATAAAACCCAAGGACAAAATGGCACTTTGTTTTTTTTCTATTAAACTCTTTTGCTGTTTGCTGTTTCAAAAATTCATACTGAATCTTTACAATGAAACATTTGTGAGTCCAGGAGCCCAGAACCCTAAATGAATTCAGATTGACTTCTTTTTCTGTACGGTCTATCAAAACCTTTTCACTTTACCACAGACCAGAAATTATTTCTCACTGTTTTCTGTGCCTTACTCCTTTAATCTCCAAATACCTGTTACTACTATTGTAATTGTTATTTTATTGTAACAGTTATTGTTGTTACTGCTATTGAACAAGCTTTGGATGTTTGGTTTGAAAAGATTCAATCAAGTATTTTGATTATGATGACTAGTGCCTGTGTATAGCTAAGCAGTGAAGCAATGCAGAGATTTTATAAATATTTTTAGGGCATTTTTTTACTGTGATTGTAGGGAGTAAGATATTTGTTTTTACAGGCTGGAAAGATTGCTGTGAATTTTAACACTTGGGAGTCACAGCTTTAATTCTGATTTAGTCTACTAAAATAAATAAAAATTAGCCGTTGATACTCTTTTAAATGAATGGAACCTATTTCTGATTCTGATTTTTCTGAAGCAGTCTCTACATTTCCCAAAGTGCCACTTCCCAAGGTGGACAAAACATGTTCTGTGCAGGCGAAATGTGAGATGCTGGCTGCATAGGGGAGGAAGGGGGAGAGGAAGCTGTTTGCAAAACTACTTAAAATAAATTTGAAGGGTCAAACATGGAACACAGTTGCAAAAGAGAAAGGAAAAAATGCCTTAGGTCAGTTCAGCTAGAATCGTGTAGGCATTCGCATTGGCTAGAGGGTTAGTTGTGTATTTCTTGCTAATCAGATACAATTGGAGCAGATAATATTTGAGTATCTGAGGCTAGATCTCATTGCCTCTATATCAGGGAAATGAACCAAAAGGGGCAAGTTTTAAAAGTTTGATTTGGGGAAACAGATACCATTTAGGAGAGAGATGGTAGGCTGTGTTTACCTCGTTGTCCGAAGGCTGCTCAGACTTTAGTCAGCTCTCCAACTTGCAGCTTGTCCCTCAGAGATGCAGTAGTGGCTTGGGCCGGCAGACGGGCTTGCGTTAGCATTTCATTTAAAAGCGATCGGTACTTTTAAATTAAACATGCAAAGTTATCTTGGTGAGGTATTGAATGGGAGGTTGCTGGATTATTGAATTTGGCCCAAAATTTAGCCAGTTCAGCAGGGATTTTGGGGTCTGAAGCAATTAATATGCAAGTACATTTGAGTCAGCAAGGTAGGAGATTACTGTCTTATCAGAGTAAAAAAAAAAATTCTTTTTCCAAGATCCATACTTTTTTGGAGGTAGATAAAAACTCCATTGTTTGAGATTCATGTTTGTGAGTGACCACCTCAAATTGCCAGGTTTTAACCACTAAAACACAGAGGAGGGAATAATTGCATTTAAAATCTCTGATCTGTTATTTGCATTATGCTTAGCATAGAGGAGACCCCAATTTCCTTCCTCATGTTTTTGGTTTTTTTTTGCCATTTTGTTAACATAGATTGAGAGGAAACTTAATTTTCTTTCTTGAAAAAATCATTCACTGAACTGCTCAAAACACATGAAGTTGTTTTTGTCTCATCAGATCGAGTACTTAAGACAAAACTACGAAGGACTTCAATATATGGTTAACCTCTCATGTGCTCTGTGAATCTAGACACACTCCATCCGAGTTGCTGTATGATTTCCTGACCATAATGACCTGGCCAGGGGAACAGCTATTCCTTTGACAACACCGTTTTTCTTCTTCTACACAGCCAGAACCCTTACACCTGTTTTCCCACCTGGCAGGCAGCATTCAGAGGCATGAGGTGTATTTTTATTGTGTGGCACTCAGCCACACAAGTGGCTGTGCAGTCTTGGGGAGAAGAGGTTACTTAACACAATTTCCTTGACTTTAAAATGGGGAAAGTAAGAATGTAAGACCTTAAAGAGTTGTGAGGATGGTGTGGAACAACAGCTGGAGGGAGCCAAAGGCAGTGAATTACAGATGTGCAGTGCCATTGAGTTGCAGCTTCCTCTGCCCTTGACTCAGTGCAAGAGACTCCAGGCCCTGCATCGATGGGACCAGGCAGGCCTGTGAAAGGAGCAGAGCAGCAGGTCCAGAGCCAGCAGAACCTGCGAGCTAGTGTGCCATTGAGGCCTGGGAATTGCTGCTTTACTCCAGAAGACAGGGAACCTGGTGGTACAGCAGGAAGGCATAGTCTTTGAAAATCAGATGTGACTTAAAAATGAATTTAAAAAAAGGGGGCTAATGAAGTCCTGAAGGCCTTTATTTCTGTATTTATTGTGGAGATCTTTTTCTTCTGAAAGCTTTGATTTGACCATCTGCCTCATTTCAGGAGTTTGGAGACCTCGGAAATTTGAGAGATCACTCCTGGGTAGCAAGTTGCCCTTTTGCCAGGGCCTCCTTGTCCCTTAGAAGCATCTAGCCTTGGCTGCTTCAGGGGGCACTTCAGGACATGGATGGGGACTGACCATGTCCTTTGGCAGGTGACGCAGGGAGTCAGCCTGGGCGTGAGTGGGTGTGTGGCTGGCTCCCTGGCAAAGAGCTGCCACAGTTTCCTAAGGGGCCCCATCTTTTCCATCCAGTGGGACAGCCTTTCTATTTCAGATGAAGGATAAAATACTTGGTAGAATAACTTTCATTGTTCCCATTCCCAAATCCTTTTCTGTGTGTGGAGAGCATTCTGAGTTTGTCTGTTTGTTTACTGTCCTCCCATCAAGACCTACAGCCTATGCCGACATTCTTCTAAGCAGATCACATGTGCTTGGCCCACAAGTGGGCATTCTGAACACTTTTTTGTGTTTTCAGCCATGGTCCTCTTTTCTCAAGGGATACTGCCAGTCTCCATCCTGATCCAGATTTAGAAACACAACAAAAACAAAAGAGAAGCGGTGATATAAAATGGAAGTAGAACTTGGCGTTGGCTAGTGGAGACGGCGATAAGGAGTTTTGAAGTGTCTCTCCTTTGAAAGGTCTTTCTTGTTGGATCACTGCTCCCCCAGTATGTCTGATCCTTATGCACAGCCCACCTGGGCTGGTGGGGGGCGGTCCTCATCACACTGAGGCTGGGTTTCTTTAACTTCAGAAATGTCCTGAGGAATAAGAAATGAAACATGAGCAATACAGGGTTAATGTTGTCAAGCCATGTTTGTTTTTGTTTTTGTTTTTCTTTGTTTCTTTTTGTTTGTTTGTTTTTTGATACGAAGTCTCGCTCTATTGCTCAGGCTGGAGTGCAATGGCACGATCTCAGCTCACTGGAACCTCCGCCTCCCGGGTTCAAGCGATTCTCCCACCTCAGGCTCCTGAGTAGCTGGGATTACAGGCATGTGCCACCATGCCCGGCTAATTTTTGTATTTTTAGTAGAGACGGGGTTTCACCATGTTGGCCAGGCTGGTCTTGGCTCCTGCCCTCAAGTGATCCGCCTGCCTTGGGCTCCCAAAGTGCCGGGATTACAGGCATGAGCCACTGTGCCTGGCCTATTTTTGTTTTCTTTGATGGGGCAAGGTACCCAGATTAAGTTTATAGACGACAGCTAATGATAATCAAGTTCCATGTTTGAGTGCCTATTAAATTATCTTGTGTAATGCCCCCGCACATCTGGGAGAAGAGTTTTGTTTTGGTTTTAGTTTTTTAAATAAATGAAGAAAAGGTGACTCAGACAGGTTAAGTAACTATCCAAAAAAAAAAAAAAAATTCTGTAGTAAGAAGGTGGTCAATCCAGGATTTTAAAAAAGTATTACATTTTGGATTAGGTTATATATGTACATGATAGAAAACTTAAATAATGTTAAAGGATATGCAGAGAAAAGTATGCCTTCCTTCTGTCTCTGTGTTTCAGTCTCCTTACACTCCCCGCACTGCCAACACACATCATCAGTTTTCATTTGTGAGCGTGTTTTGGAGATGGGTCCATATTACTTTATAATAGTTTCCCCTCATTCTTTGTATTGACAACATACTGTTCCACTCTCAGGATGACTTGTGCTATCTCGAACAGTAGTGTCTGGAAGGCCTTGGTTATTCTGTCTTTTATGGTTGTGTGTACATGTCACAGGGTCAGTTCCTAGAGACAGTGCCTGCTGGAACCTGGGTGTCCTCACACCCAGACCTGTGCAGTAGGGGTTAGGGTTGCTGCTCTTGCCTAGAAGGAGCCAGAGGGCTCCCACCAGCCCTGCTGCTAGCAGAGACCTGGCGACCACTGTGGCTTTGGCACTTGGCCTGCTTCCCACCAGCCACAGAGATCGGGGCGGGGGGGTGGGGTGGTTGGTCTAGTAGTGGGGGTGGGCGGGTTGCCAGAGAGAAGGAGCGGGAAGAGGCCTTTCTTTTCAATTTACCCTCTTTTTGTATGCCATAATCTTGTTTTTCTTTGGAATCCCGCTGATCCAGGCCTGAATTCTAGTTTTACCATTTTACTAGCTGAATGATCTTTGTCAACTTATTTAACCTTTCTGAACTTAAGGCTTACCATGAGTATTAAGGCTTACCATGAGTAAAAATGGTGCTCAGAATACCTACCTGTTAGAGTTGCTTCGAGAACATAGAATAAATATTACTGCTAGTACTTTATTGAGCTTTGACTATGTCAGGTACTTCCTAAACCCTTTAACCTGTGGTAATCTGATTTAATCCTGATAAACCTCTAATGAGTTAGACACTGTTCCTATCCTCTTATATGTGACTTGAAATCTAAAAATGTTAGTAAACATTTGACCCCAACCTGTTGGGCTCCCAAGCCCATGATCTTGACCACTAGGCTATGCTGCCTCCCATAAATGCAGCCAGAGTTGATTGTGTATACTCTATGTCTGTCTAATCATTGAATTCTACTTCTGGTGACACTTAAGCTCTTTTCCTGCACTTTAATGTTAGAGATCATCATTCTTCCTAAGGAAGGCTTTTGGAGCGTTGCTTCTTACGGTGCTTATTGGAAATGTGACCTGGAACAAGATGCATCATTTCTTTGCACCTCAGTTTCCATCTTTGTAAAACATTGATAGCAATACTTACCTTCTCATGGTATTGTGAGAACCGATGCGTGCAGGGCACCCTACATACTAACTGCCTGGTGGATAGCGGGTCCTCAGTTGATGTGTTGTTGTCTTTTTCTTCCTCATTTGGGTCATTCATAGACTACTGGAGAGATATTCGAGAATTCTTCAAGTGTTTGTAGAATGGCTTGACATAAGTTGCTTTCCATTCCTTATCTGTGTAAGGAGTGATGTTCTGGAGTATTAAATTGGGTGAGTGTGGGCACAGTTTGTGTTCTGAGGTTTAGTGTGACTGTGAAAACATGCTTTTTGCATTGCCTGAGAGGATACAATAGACCACCAGCAGGAACAGCAGTGCAGACCACTGAGCAGCTTTTTGTAGCCCTGGACCCAGTGTTCAGTGTTCCAGAGAGATGGTAAGAATAAAGGGAGAGGCATCGAAGCCAAACAATTCCTAGATTTGATTGATCTGGCCTTCCAGATACCCTCAAATTCCACCAACAACTACTTTTAGTGTTTTTTCCTATTTTCTTCCAAGTTAAAAAAAATTGTGATAACATATTCATAATATAAGATTTACCTTTTTGACTATATTTAAGTATACAGTTCAGTGGCATTAAGTACATGCATATTGTAGTGCAACCATCACTGCTATCCATCTCCAGAACCTTTTCATCTTCTCAAACTGCAACTCTGTATCCATTACACACTTACTCCTTATTTCCCCCTCCCACCAGCTCCTGGCCACCGCCATTCTATTCTCTCTGTGACTTGGACTACTAAGTGGAATCATACAGTATTTGCCCTTCTGTGACTGGTTTATTTCACTCGGCATAATGTTCTCAGAGTTCATACATGTTGTAGCATGTGTCAGAATTTCCTTTTTTAAGGCTGAATAATATTCCTTTGTATATATATTTTCCCATGTTTTAAAAGTATAGGGTAAGTATGTAAGTATCTATCAGTATATTTATTTATAGCCATCTCTGTAGTTCTGTATTTTGCTTTGGCTTAACGTGTATTTTTCAAGTTATTACTTAAATTTTGTGAGTATTGTTAGTGATACCATACTGTTCTGATTCTGTTTAAAATGAAGGACATTTTTTTTCCTTATCTCTTATAGAATGAACTAGCTGTATTACACTGTTTGCATATTTCTAGAATTGACATTTCCAAGGGACAGTTTAGAAATTCTCAATTGTATCACAAACTCTGCAGTGATTGTATTTTGCACCTTACCCAGACATGGTAAGAAATACAGGTCTGGCATGGCATGATGGCTCATGGCTGTAATCCCAGCATTTTGGGAGGCTGAAGCTAGAGATTGTTTGAGCCCAGGAGTTTGAGGCTACAGTGTGCTATGATTGTGTCACTGCACTCCAGCTTGGGTAACGGAGCGAGATCCTGAAAGAAGGAAAAAAACAAATACAAGTCTGCCATACCTTATCCATAAATTTGAAAATTCAAATAGCTCTGTAAACTGAAAGCAGTTTTTTGGAGTTTGGATGCAAAACCCCATCTGAACTGACTGAATCTTTTATTTTTCCCATTTAGTGTGAATATTTAATGTTTGATTATAGGGAATGGCCCCATCGCTGCTGGGGTATTATATAATGTATGATATATTTATGTATGTACAGAATTATCTTTTGGGGGGATAATTATTTTAATTTATTCATCATTTTATAACTTAATATTATGAAGCACTTCATATATACCTTCTTTTTACTAAGCAATAAAACAGACTTTTTCTGTGACATTAATTTATAATAGAATATTCTTTTGTGTGCAACCATATCATATTTTTTTAGAAACTTTTTTTTTTTCTTTTTTGAGACAGAGTTTCACTCTTATCACCCAGGCTGGAGTGCAATGACGTGAATTAAATGGAATTATATATACTTTATGACCTTTCGTGTCTGGCTTCTTTCACTTAGTGTAATATTTTCTTTTTTTGAAATAAGGTCTTGCTCTGTTGCTCAGGCTGGAGTGCAGTGGTATGATCATAGCTCACTGCAGCCTTGAACTCTTGGGCTCAAGCAATCCTCCTGCTTCAGCATCCCAAAGTGCTACGATTACAGGTGTTAGCTACCACGCCTGGCCAGTGTAATATTTCTAGATTCACCCATATTGTAGCCTGAGTCTCTACTTCATTCCTTTTTAAGACTGAATAATATTCCATGCCTGGATATACCACATTTAAAGAATCCATTCATTAGTTGATAGGCATTTGGATTGTTTTCACTTTTTGATTATTATGAATAATGCTACCATGAGGAGTCATGTACATGTTTTTGTGTAAACATACATTTCTGTTCTCCTGGGTATAAATATACCCAGGAATTGCTGGATCATATGGTAACTCTATGTTACCTTTATGAGGAACTGCCAAACTTTTTCACAGCTGGTACACCATTTTTCACTCTCACAGCAATGTATGAAGGTTCTGGTTTCTCCACATCCTCACCAACACTTGCTATTGTCTGTCTGTCTGATCATATCCATCCTAGTGGGTGTGAAGTGCTATCTCATTGTGATTTTGATTTGCATTTCCCTGATGGTGAGTGATATTTAGCATCTTTTCATGTGGTTGTTAATATATCTTCTTTGGAGAAATGCCTATTCAGCTCTTTGTTCGTTTAAAAATTGAGTTGGCTTTTTATTGTTGACTCATAAGAGTTTTTAATATATTCTAGATAGTTCCTTATCAGATATATGATTTGCAAATATTTTCTCCCATTCTGTGGGTTGTCTTTTCACTTTCTTGATAGTGTCCTTTGAAGCACAGAAGCTTTTAATTTTTGAAACATTCAAGTTTATTTATTTACTTTTGTTGCTTGTGCTTTTGGTGTCATATCTAAGAAATAAGTGCTTAATCCAAGGTTACATAGATGCATACCTATGTTTTCTTCTCAGTTTTATAGTTTTAGCTCTTCCATTTAAGTCTTTCATCTATTTGGAGTTGATTTTTGTATATGGCATGAAGTAGAGGTCCAACTTAATTCTTTAGCTTGTGGATATCTGGTTGTCCCAGTTTTTGTTAAAAAAACTGTTCCCTCTATTGATTTGTGTTGGCACTCTTAACAAAAATCAGTTGACTGTAAATGTGAAAGTCTCTTTCTAGATTCTCAATATTTCATTGATTTATATGTCTAGCCTTATTCTGAACTATTTTTTTTTTAAAGTTCTAAATTCTGAAACATTTTCCCCCAGCGGCTTAGGGATTAGGTAATAATAGTAGATTGCTACTGAGCCATGGGGAGGGCTGTTTCTCCAACTCCTCAGATATCCCTGTGCTTACCTTCCCAGCCTGTCTTCCTGTGTGAGCTCCATGGCACACCCTAGGGACAGTGTCTGAGGACAGTGCTGAGGCTCATGGCCACAGGAGTGGTAGAAGCAGGTTTTCAGACTGATAATGCCATTACATTTCAAACTTTGAACATTTCAAACCTTGAACATGAATATGAGATGTTGGAGATCCCAACTG
Organism: Homo sapiens; assembly: GCF_000001405.40. NCBI lineage: Eukaryota > Metazoa > Chordata > Mammalia > Primates > Hominidae > Homo > Homo sapiens. The sequence continues at coordinate 128,187,111 of NC_000003.12, forward strand.
GGAAGGTGTAGCTACCCAGCAAGTCTCCCATCTCTGAATACTCTGCTATACAGGAGTGGGTACCCAGGGACCACATTTGAACCCGGGCACCCTGACTGCCTCCAGCCCCATTGATATTTAATTGGTTCAGGGATAGATACCTGAGCCAAGATGTACTAAACAAGTTCTTCTGTGGGAATTTGAAACTAGGGAAAGAGAGGCAGGGACACTAGGAGTTCTGGAAATCAGCATGTTGATAGAAATAGTGTGCTAGACCAGAGAGAAGGCTGGGAGCTGTTCTGCTTCTGGGCTTTCCCAGAGCTTCTGTGAGGTACCTGGAATCCTTCTTGTAAACCCTCCTTTTTGTTTACAATTCTTCAGCCAGTTGGTTACTTGTAAGAAAAAAAAATTCTTCATCAATGAATGTGTTCACTTGGTGAAGAGTGGATGTCATTTTTGTTATTTTTTTCTTTTGCAAATGTACATTTAGCACCTGCTGAGAGCAGGACATTCTGAATGTTAGGCACTGAGAACATCTGGCAGATAAAAGGTGGCCCTGCCCCTTGGGACTCACTGTTCAATGAGTTGGAGGGTAGGGGATAGACCATAAAGCAGATGTACTGAATATGAGATAGGTGCATCAAAGACCATACAATACACCAGAGGGTTTCAGAGGTGCGAGTCAGGGAAGACTTCACAGAAAAAGTGACATTTGTGTGGAGTCCTCATGGATGATTAAAGTCTGCCTGGTAGCAATGAGAGATTCAGTTTCAGAAAATGGGCATTGACTGCAGGGAGCCTAGAAGTATGAAGGATTTGGAGGGTTTGGACAATCCAGAGAAGGCTTGTGTGATTGGTCACAAGTGTAAGCAGCCAATGGTGAGCTGGTGAAGCAGGTTGGAAGCAGATTATGAAGGGCTTTGTATCTTGGACCAAAACATTTACACTTTGTTCTGGGGGCAGCAGACAGGTCTGTGGTTTACAGAGTTTACCCTGGCATTGATGGGTTGGAGGGGAGAGAGGCCAGGAGACCATTTTGGAGGGCAGTGCCAGTGGTTAGGGTGATGAGGGAGGGATGGAAAGGAAGGAAGGCCGAAACCCAAGTTAGGAAATAGACTCTCCAGACTGGGAGACTAGCTCTAGGTAGAGGGTACAGTGCAGTTTCAAGGAGACAGGGAACGAAAGAGGTACTTGGAACAGAATGGGTATGAGGTATGGGTGTGGGATGAGGATGCTGCTGCGATCATGATGAGGGCTGGCAGGCAGGCAGGCTGAGGGGGTGGCAGGCATGCAGCAGCCCCAGGGCTTCTTTTTTGTGGGGTAGATGAAAGGGGGTCCATTTGCCTTTGTTTTATGCCAATCAGGTGCAGCTTTTGGATTCCTGGCTAGCTGCCATGTTGCCCTCAGGCAAAAGTTTGGCGGCCTTGGTATTGTTGACCCTTTGTACTAGATGGTGAAAGTATCTGCCTTGCAGACCAGGCCCTGGAATCAGGTATTTGGAATGCATAGCTAATGTGTTCCACTCCAGTCCGTTGGTATTATTGTTCCACAGTATCGCATCTAATTGACTATTTCTAAATGTTCTTGTATATTTTGACTGTACAAGCAAAGTAGGTTTCCAGCAGCCCCTCTTTGCCGGGGCTGCCTCATCTGCAAAGTTTGCTGGCACCACCCTCCTTTCCCAGGGTTCCTGGTTCCTTTCTGCCTGGGAGCCCTGTGCCTGAGGGGGCATGGTGATCTTACTGGATTCCCCTCCCAGCCTTGCCCACCTGTTGTCCTCCAGCCCCGCTCACCTGGGAGTTTGATAGAGGGGCTATTGTGTGCAAAGGATGGTTCAGCATGGACTGCCTTTCCTCCCTTGTGAGTCTGTAGGGGAGTTGGACAGGTAGGGGTAGACCCCCAGGCACTGATGGAGCCCAGCCTCGGTGCCCAGTACCTTTACATGGGGGGGGCTCCCAAAGTTGGATACTTCCAGCACAGCAAGACAGGCACTGCTATTAGGGGCTGCCCAGATCAAGTGACACTGAATCATCTGCTGAGCAAGTCCTTCCTTTCTCAGTCCGTGGGCAGCCCCTCTGGCCATGTGGAGGAGGAGGCCTGTGAGCACTGGTTCTCTGGACATTGCTCATCTCCCTCCTTGACAAGCGCCTCGCAGAAGACAAAACTCCATTCACACAATGCATAATGACAGCTTAGGTCAATGATGGAAGGTATATATGATGGTGGTCCCATAAGATTATAGTGGGGCCAAAAAATTCCTATAGCCTAGTGCTGTCATAGCTGTGGTAACATCATAGAGCAGGTTACTCAGGTGTTTGTGGTGATGCTGGTGTAACCAAACCTACTGTGCTCAGTCTTATAGCACATATAGTTACTTATAGTACCTATTATGATAATACATGACTGGTTTATGTCTTTACTATACTAGACTTGTTATTATTTTAGTGTGTACTCCTTCGACTTCTTTTCTTTTTTTTTTTTTTTTTCCGAGCCAGGGTCTGGCTGTCTTCCAGGCTGCAGTGCAGTGGCACCATCTCAGCTCACTGCAACCTCTGCCGCCTTGCCTCAAGCGATCCTCCCACCTCAGCCTCCTGAGTAGCTGGGACTAAGGTCCTCACCACCATGCCCAGCTAGTTTTTGTATTTATTTTGTAGAGACGGGGGTCTCACCATGTTGCCCAGGCTGATCTCGAACTTCTGGGCTCAAGTGATCCACCTGCCAAGGCATTGCAAAGTGCTAGGATGAGCCACTGTGCCCAGCCTCCTTCTACTTCCTTTTGTGTCTTTTTTTGGAGATGGAGTCTCGCTCTGTTGCCCAGGCTGGAGTGCAGTGGCACGATCTTGGCTCACTGCAACCTCCACCTCCCGGATTCAAGCAGTTCTCCTGCCTCAGCCTCCTGAGTAGCTGGGACTACAGGTGCATGCTGCCATGCCTGGCAAATTTTCTGTATTTTAGTAGAGACGGGGTTTCACCATGTCCCCCAGGCTGGTCTCGAACTCCTGAGCTCAGGCAATGCACCCGCCTCAGCCTCTCAAAGTGCTAGGATTACAGGCATGAGCCACCATGCCCAGCCGCTCCTTCTACTTCTAACAACAAAAATTAACTGTAAAACAGCCTCAGGCAGGTCCTTCAGGATGTATCCAGGAGAAGGCATTGTCATCACAGGAGGTGACAGCTCCATGCATGTTACTGCCTCTGAAGACCTTCCAGTGGAACAAGATGTATGAGGTGGAAGACAGTGATGTTGATGATCCTGACCCTGTGTAGGCCTAGGCTAATGTGCATGTTTGTGTTTTAGTTTTTAACAAAAAAGTTTAAAAAGTAAAAGAAAAAAGTTTTTAATGGAAAAAGGCTTATAGAATAAGGATATAAAGAAAGAAAATATTTTTATACAGCTGTACAGTGTGTTTGTGTTTTAAGCTAAGTGTTATTACAAGAGTCAAAAAGTTAAAAAATTTTAAAGTTTATAAAGTAAAAAAGTTATAGTGAACTAAGATTAATTTATTATTAAAGAAAAATGTTTTTATTATAAATTTAGTGTTGTCTAAGTGTCCATTGTTTGTAGAGCCTACAGGAGTGCAGAGTCATGCCCTAGGCCTTCACATTCACTCAACCACTCACTCACTGACTCGCCCAGAACACCTTCCAGTCCTGTAAGCTCCATTTATGCTAAGTACTCTATACAGGGGTACCCTTTTTAATCTTTTATGTTGTATTTTTACTGTCCCTTTTTTATGTTTAGATACAGTTCAAGTACACAGATACCACTGGGTTACAATTGCCTGCAGTATTTAGTACAGTCACCTGCTTCAGCTCACTGTGCCTCGCCTGGGGGTATTTTTTTTATTATGGTAAAAAATATATAACATTTACCATTCCCATTTTTAAATGTACAGGTTTGTAGCCTAGGAGCAATAGGCTATTTCACACAACCTAGGTGTGTGGTAGGCTCTGCCATCTAGGTTTGTGTAAGTGCTCTCTATGATGTTTGCACAAAGATGAAATTGCCTAATGACACATTTCTCAGAATGTATCTTCATCATTAAGCAATGCATGGTTGTATACCAACATAGCTTGATATGTATATTTTTAATGGTTGCCTTCTAATATTGCCATGTCGTGGTTTCATCTATGGCTGCCATATAAAGTTTCCTTTTTTGGGGGGCTATTTTTTATTTTTAAATTTATTTGTTTACAAAATTAAAAAAATTATTTTATTTTATAGATGGGTCACATTCTCTTGCCCAGGCTGGAGTGTGGTGGCATGATCATTTAGCTCACTGCAACATGGGCTCAAGCAATCCTCCCACCTTAGCCTCTTGAGTAGCTTAGACTTCAGCTCACTGTGCCTGGCCTGGGGGTATTTTTTTTATTATGGTAAAAAATATATAACATTTACCATTCCCATTTTTAAATGTACAATTCAGTGGCATTAAGTAGATTCACATTGTTGTGCAACTGTCACCACTATTATTTCTAACTTTCCATCACCCCAAACTGAAACTCTGTACCCATTAAACACTACCTCCCCATTCTCCCTACTCCCAGCCCCTGGCATCCACCATTCTACTTTTTGTTTATAAATTTGACTACTCTAGGGAACTCATATAAGCAGAATCATACAGGCTTGGTGGCTGGTTTATTTCATTTAGCATAATGTCCTCAAGGTTCATCCACGTTGTATCATGGATCAGAATTTCTTTCCCTTTTAAGGGAAAGATAATATTCCAGCATATCGATAGACCACATTTTGTTTTTCCCTCCATCTATTAATGGGCACTTGGGTTGTTTCCACCTTTTGCCTGTTGTGAATAGTGCTTCTTGAATATTGGTGTCTAGGTATCTGTTTGATTCTTGTTTTCAAGTCCTTCGAGAATTCCTATACCTAGGAGAGGAATTACTGGATAAAGTGGTATCAATGTTCCTTTAAGGGAAAAAAGTGGGTTTTATAAAACAGGGCAGGGCAAAATTAGTTATTTAAAGAAAAATATTAAGTAATATTGTGTGTGGCATTGTGATGGAGTAGAAATGATGGAGCTGACCCTGGAGTGGTGGCTGGTGCAGTGTGCAAATGTCTTACCAGCCTGGCAGAATTCTGTGTGGCCTTGGCTGTGACTTCACTCCGGGTCTCAACCTATCCATCTGTAAAACAGGGCTGATGCCTCGTTTCTCTCCAGGCTGCCATGTGAACCTGACACGGTTGGGTGTGAGAAGCCTGCTGGTTCTCAGGTGTGCCCCTTTCCCGATTTTTCTCTGCGTGCTTAGAGACCATGGTGGCTGCAGCAGGCCCTGGACCCGCTCTTCTCCTGCAGATTCATTCAAGGCTGTGCCTGTGGGGTTCCGAGCTGGGCTCTTGAGCTTCAGCTGGCTGTTTCCTAATCACTTTCTTTCCTGTCACCCTGGCTGCCTGCTACTGTGACACCTAGAACATTACCCCAGAAGATCAGGACTCTTCCTGGACTTCACAAACGTATTTTTATAGTGCTTACACTCTTCTGCCAATTTTATCTGTAGCTTGTCTTTTTCTTCCCCTCTCCTATTTAACTTCTTTGTCTTTTGACCCCTTTCATTCAGTTAATTGATTGATTAACTCTTTCCACAGTATTTGTTGGACACCTGTGATACTGGAAGGAGGAGCATATATTTGTTGGGGGAGGAGGTACAGAAAAGATACAGAAGACACCTCCCACCCCCAATACTTTTAGTCTACTTGGGTAGAAAAGGAAGACATTCTTGAAATTGGTGGGTAGTAGTAATAATGTGTAAAGCATCCTAACAGGTATTTTTCTTTCTGGAGACTATCCAAGCTTCAGGGCAGGGGGGCATCTGCTTGCTTTAAACAGGGACTGTACAGCACTGGTAGAAAAGAGCCTGGGTTTTAGAGCCTGGGTTCAAATGTTGGCACTGTCCCTTACCAGCTACATGATCTTACGTGACAACATGGGAATTCCATCATGTCCCTTCAGGGTTAAATGGGACGGCTTGCATGAATCCTCTGCAGGGTGGCCACACTCAGGGACCTTGCTGTTAGTGACTGTGTCCTCCTCCCAAGGAGTGGGACTCCCCAGACTTCACTTATGCTGTCCTTATGTATCACTGAAGTTCCCCTCTCAGGACTTGGGGGAATCAGGGGATGCTCTAAACCAGTGGGCTCAGACACAGGTCCTATTGTATAGCCACATACCCCAGAAAGAAAGTGCCCTCCAGACCAGCCTCCAAGGGAGGCAGAGGAGGCAAGGGCTCACCATTGTTTTCCAGCAGGGTGCATCTGAGAGGGTGTTGCTCTCTGCAGAGCAGGCTCCTGTGGCTGTGACAGAGCTAACCTACTGGCACTTCGGGGGAGGGGCTGCCCTCTGCCTGTAGCCTGACTATTGGCAAGGGCCCATTTTTCTGCATTCATTCATTTATCCAGTTACGTAATTTTTTCCCTTCAGATGATCATTTGCCTGGTCATTTGGGTGGTAATAATGATTCTAAAATATTATTTAAAAATGAATTGACTTATTTGCTTTGTAGCAGCCACCATACCTATGTGTTTTACAAATGTCACCTTCTGTGATCCTTACCATGACCCTGTAAGGACCACATCATCAGTTCCCATTACTGAGCCTCAGCAATGGCAAGTGACTTGCCTAGGATCACACACTAATCCGCAGGCCAGGATTTGGACATAACTTGTACAACTCCAAAGCCATTTCTCCTAGTTGCTCGGCTGTCCCTCTCTTTGCCTTCCTCCCTCCAGAGGAGGAGGGACTCTGATATCAGCAGATGTGTTTTTCCTCTGGCATGGGAGGACAGAAGGGAAGAGAAACAGTATAGTTATCTAAGTGAGAATGAGCCATGAAGGCTGAGTAGCGGTTTTCTGTGCAAGTAAAATCTTATCTTGGGGGATAGAGGGAAGACCATCTTCCCCCATCCCCCAACTTGAATGAAGAAGAAAAAACCCAACCAAAAATGACATAAAGCTAAGCTGCCACAAAGGCTGCACTTACCCAATATTCCTGGTGTGGAGGTAAGTTTTGCACCCCAATTTCTCCTCTCTTCCGTCTTGGGACGTGAAATCTTTTCAGCTCATAAAAAAGACAGGGTGCCCACATGGTGTTTTTAATGGAGAAAATAAGGCTGGGAGGTGTCTGAGCCTCTTGGGACTTCCGGAGAGCTTGGACACCACAGCCTTCCCAGCTGGAGGGTGCTGAGCTCCCACCTGGATTGAGGATCTGTGCTGTCCTGAGGCCATTGTTCTTTTTCCCAGCACAGGATGGAAAAGGCTCCTCTGGGAGGCATCTGCAGGTCAGATGCTTTTGGGGTGGCAGGGTGCAGCAGTGGCTGGATGGGACTGGGATGGTTGTTTTAACAATAAGTTATTAGAGAACTTCAGCTTGGCCCTGCCTTTCAGGGAACTAATTCTGGGAAATCTATCTGGATCCTGAAATAAGTTCTGCTTTGTGATTTCATAATTCCTCTTTCAGGGAATAATCTGAAATGAGCCAGAGCTTTATGCACAAAAATGTTCTTCACAGCATTATTTATAAGAGCAAAAAATTGGGAGCCACCCAAATGAAGCAAAATAAGGTACTTTGTGCACCCTTCTTTAAAATGATATTTATGAAGAAAATTTAAAAATGTGAAAAGTCATCCTACATATGTTAAGTGAAAAAAAGCAGGGCAAGGAATTCTTTTTGAGTTCAGTAATATACAAAATACATATGTGCAAGAAAAAGACTAGAAAGAAAGACATTAAATGTTAACAGTAGCTAACATTAGGGGCTAAGATCTAGGTGACTTTTAATTTCCTTTTATAAAGAATTTTTTTTCCCCAAGGCTTTTTCTTTCCCAATGTTATTTTCTAAAATTTCTACAATGAACATTATTAGTTGAATAGTTACCCTCCTCCCTCCTCGCTCCTCCTTCTTGGAGCTGGTCAGCCAGTGCTGCTTTTCTCCTCCTCCCACCCCTCCCCTTCTCCCACCCGAGCACTGTGGCTGGTTTCCAGTAGCAGCAGTACAATTAATATTTTACACGATCTTCGCCTAAAGTCTGGTGGTAGTTTGAGATACTTCTTTTAGTCTGAACTCATTTTCAAATTTAGGGCCCAGGCTGTTCTATGGCTTTAGGAGTTGAGGAAACATGAAAGAAATCTGCCTTCTATTTGTTTAAATATTAAAGCATTTAAAATATTTTTTCCTTCTTTCAGATAATCAAAACACAGCTGACTTGCCATTGCTGCACAGTGCTGAAAGGTAGCTCTCAATGTGGGTGATTAACACCATGGCAATGGAGGGGGCAAGTTTTAAAGAAATAATTAAATAGATCTTGGAAAATCATTATTCTTTTGTCTCATAATAGAAAACCAGGCCTGTGTCTGCAGCTGAGCACAGTATTTGGTGATCAGCAGATAAAAGGACACTCCAAAGCCAAACTTGGAGCCACTGTCGTCTACCAGATGCATTTTATCTGGCGGAATGTGTGGGACCTGACAGACACAGGGGAATCCAGGCTCTGCGAACCTCTGCTGAGCCTCGTCTCCTCTCTCCATAATGGAGATGAAGGCGCCTCCCATTCACAAGTGTAGTTATTGCATAAGTGTTTCCCTCTGTCAGTTTTCAGTGGCTAAACCTTCCTATATAATATCCTTGGAAGATAGGTTGGGGCTTGGGCTTGAGGTCAAGATGGTAGAGACAAGGGATTTGTCCCAGACTTCATGGCAAGAGTGAGACTGGCATGTCTAGATTAGTGATTAGAGAGCTCTTTGAGAAACTGGGGAGAGCTCTGGCCCTTCTCCCAAACAGAACGCATATAACTATTTCAGGAAGTGTTTGGACCCAAGATGAAGAACTGCTCTTCAAGAAGCAACCGTGGCCTGGCTAGACTTGGGCAATGGCATGACCCTGTGGGTATTGCCCCCACCGCCTTTCTGCGAGGGCCTGCAAAACGGGGCCCTTGTCCACGTGTGTGGGTCAGTGCTGTAGCCAGGAGGAAGGCCTGAGACAGTGTGTCTGTGACTCTCTGCTGTTTGATTGTGTGAGAGTCTGTATGTGAAGAGGAAAATAAAAAGGAAATGAAACCAATTTATAATAATTGTCTTCTGACATATATAACTCCAAAAAACTGCAAAGACAAGGTTCTGAGCCAAATGAAATTATTCGTTTATGATCAATTAAATGATGAACATAAACACAAGAAACACACGATTTTCCTTGCTCAAGATTTGGCATGTGTATTTTCTGATTCTACTATATATGTAAGATTTTTATTTAAAACAAAAGTGAGTTGTTGTGCGTATCATGGGATGTGTGCTGTGATACAAATACAGTGGCCCTTTATATATATTTAAATACAAAGTCACTTTTTTCTGATTATAAAACTAATACAGACCTATTTTAGAAACTTTGGGTAATAACAGTATAAGGAAGAAAATAATAATCATCTGGTTTACTTGATGGAAATTAAACATTTCATGTAATTTTTTTTGGCTGCTTTTAAATTTAACATTATATCCTAAACATTTTTCCCATGCCATTAATCACTTTCTGTAAACATCATTTTTTCATGCCTGCAGGAGTTCCATTGTATGAATACACAATTTAAGTGTTTGGTTGTGTGGAAAGCATATAAGCTCTGACTTGAAGAAATGTGACCCAAACCTGTGTCTGTCACTTACTGGCACTCGATGGCCTCTGGAACCTCAGTCTCCTTGTCTGCAGAAGGGAGACTGAATGACAGTACCTTGGGTTACTGAGAGACCTCAAAGAGCCTCGCACAGTGTGGGGCATGCACTCAGCAAATAGTTGCCATTATTATTATTGGTGACAGCAGTGGCAGCTTTGTCTTGTGGCTCCTCTAGGGAGAGTTTGGATGCTCGCAGTATGTTAAGAATTTGCAGCCCAGCTCTGGCCTCGTTTTTTAAATGAATACTTTCTTTTTCTCTTATTGCTGTGATTTCTTCTTTTGCATTTTTCCTCTTTGTTCTGTGTACTTTTGTAAGTTGCTTTACATCGTTTTTGCAGTAAGGCAGATTATAAATAAATAAACACTGACTATTCCCTCTAGTGTTGGTTGTTTAGGTTGTTTCTGATTTCTTGCTATTGTGAATCATTCTGCATAGAATATCTTAGTGCATCAGGGTCTGTCCTAGGTTGGATTATTTGCTGGGGCTAGAATCCTGGAGGCGGAAATACGCATTTTGTTTTTCTTTTTTTTGAGACGGAGTCTCGCTCTGTTGCCACGCTGTAGTGCAGTGGTGCGATCTCGGCTCACTGCAACCTCTGCTTTCCGGGTTCCAGCAATTCTTCTGCCTCAGCCTCCCAAGTAGCTGGGATTACAGGCACATGCCATCACGCCCAGCTAATTTTTTTGTATTTTTAGTAGAGACAGGGTTTCACCATATTGGCCAGGCTGATTTCGAACTCCTGACCTCAAGTGACCTGGCCATCTTGGCCACCTAAAGTGCTAGGATTACAGGTGTGAGCCACTGCGCCCGGCCGGAAATACGCATTTTTACATCTCTGATCCAATTTCTTCTCAGAAGGCTGTACCAATCTACACTCCCACCATTAACGGTACGAGAAGACCAGTGCCACTGACTCCATGACTGACTGGCCTCTTTCTTTCAAGCCCCGTTTCTTGTCATGGCCCAGGGTAGCAACAATCTGATTCTCACCTGGATGCTGTGTTCTGCATCATCATCAGTAAATGGAGCTCAGGGTTGAGGTCTGCCCCAGGTCCCCCGGTTTTGGTAAATCTTATTTCTGATGGGAAGGCAGTCCTGTCGCCAGCCAGTCCTGCCTGCATAGATTGCCCTCTCTGCTAAACAATGGACACATTCAGACCCGACTCGTGTTTTCAGTTATTAAAAAACTGAGCCGTCTGTCTCTGCCTGTGACTTTAATCTTTAAGCCTTTATTCCCTTTACCCCATCCCCCTTCCCTTAACCTTTTGTTTGTGCAGTTCCGAGCTCAGGGATACGTGGGTCCAAGACTTTCTGAATGTACTGTGGCTTCCCCTGACAGCTACAGATGGTTGTAGCCCTGAGTGATGTTGTTTCAGGGTAGGCAAGGGGGGGATGAAAGGGAAGGAGAAGAGAGGTCAGCTCTTCTTGCCTCCAGCAATCATTTGAACTTTGCCAAAACTATTTTTACATAGCTCTGGAGTGGAGTGCCTCCGTTCCATTCTCTCCCCATTTTCAAATTTGGTAGACTTGTACCGTTTCTGAGTTGCTTAGGCTTAATAAGTTTACATCTTACAGTGCCTCTTAGCATTTCTTCCTGAGAAGTAGTTCTTGTGGTTGAATTATGTATATGTGTGTCTAAAAGCAAAAGTCCCAAGAAAGGATCTTCACCCCAACCCCCTTAAAACACAACCAGAAAGCTCAGAACACAACAACATCTTCCATTTCAGAAAGGGCACTCTTCCGGCAGCACATGTGGTTCTCAGTGTCTTCTTGCACAAGGCCAGCCAGAGAATGCTGGATGTAAAAACCAGTGACAGGGCCATGAGCTTGGCTGACAGGGAGCATTAGGAAACCATCCTCTCTTTTGCAGAGACACTGGGGACATTCCTTTCTGAAGAAGGCTCCTTGCATACAAAAAGAATGGTCTTTAAGAGTGTTGCTGGCACCTTTCTGTGAAGAGCCACACAATGCAGAGGGAGGGAACCTATCACTTGGATGTGGAGGTGCAGGTCTGAAGGCCAGGAAGGAGACATTTTTTCATATGTGTGTTTTTTTTTTCTTAAAGACTTTCTGTTTTTTTTTCTTTTTTTGAGGTGGAGTCTCACCCTGTCGCCCATGCTGGAGTGCGGTGGCACTATCTTGGCTCACTGCAACCTCCACCTCCCAGGTTCAAGCGATTTTCTTGCCTCAGCCTTCTGAGTACCTGGGACTATAGGCATGCGCCACCGCACCCAGCTAATTTTTGTATTTTTAGTAGAGACAGGGTTTCACTGTGTTGACCAGGCTGGTCTCCATCTCCTGACCTCAGGTGATCCGCCTGCCTCGGTCTCCCAAAGTGCTGGGATTACAGGCTTGAGCTACCACACCTGGCCTGTGTGTATGTTTTTTCAAGTGTGTGCATTTTTTGTGCATTTTTACATGTCAACACACCCTGTTTGTTTTTAAACCTTTTTTCTCACTACAAAGCTTCTATGACTCCAGCATTTTATAAATGCCTTCAGAGAATGCAAGAGCCTCCTCACCCCTTTACGGTGATGTTAACAGAGGGTTGGTGCCTATTCATCTGACTTTGTCCACATATATGTATATTTATGCTTATGTTAGTCTATTAGTATTGTCACTTTAAAATTTGTTTTTAAAGTTAAGTGTGGGGCTATACTACATCTGCTATTTTGCATTTTGTTTTCCCTCTGCTTAGCAATGTCTTGGAGCATGAGTTCAGAGAGTTCAAATTCACTCTGTTTAGTGGCTGTAGGATATTCCCTTGTGTCTATTTACCATTTAACCAGTCTTTTAATGGATGTTTTTGGTGTCTCCAGTCTTTTGCTAGGTGAACGTAATCTCTTTGCACCTTGTAGAAGTGTTTCTGCAAGTTTCTGTCTTAGAATTGGAAATTGTTGGGGCAGTTGCATTTTAAAAAGTATTGCCAAATTGCCCCTCCCTGCAAAAAAGTCATACTGGTTGTCTGTTTTATAAAAATAATTTTTTTTTTGAGATGGGGTCTCACTCTGTTGCCCAGGCTGGAGTGCAGTGGCAAGATCTTGGCTCACTGCAACCTCTGCCTCCCAGGTTCAAGTGATTCTCCTGCCTCAGCCTCCCGAGTAGCTGGGATTACAGGCGCACGCCACCACGCCCTGCTAATTTTTATATTTTTAGTAGAGACAGCGTTTTGGCACTTTGGCCAGGCTGGCCTTGAACTCCTGACCTCAGGTGATCCACCCATCTCGGCCTCCCAAAGTGCTGGGATTACAGGCGTGAGCCACCGTGCCCAGCCTAAAAATATTATTTTAAGTGAGTTACCACCGAGGAAAAGTAAAGCTTTGTCTAAAATCTCAGGGCTACGTTTATCTTACGACTTTCTGTGCCTGACACCATCATACACACCTGGGCTTATAAACTTGAATTTGAAAAGTCTAGCTTCAAGATCAGTCAGCTTTCACTCTGGATATATTTATTGTCCGTCTGCTATGAGCCAGACCTCCAGTTCTGTGGCGGTAACACAAGGAAATCTTTCTCCAAACTCTAACATGAATCTCTTTTTTTTTTGAGATGGAGTTTTGCTCTTGTTGCCCAGGCTGGAGTGCAATGGCGCGATCTTGGCTCACCGCAACCTCCGCCTCTCAGGTTCAAGTGATTCTCATGCCTCAGCCTCCCCAGTAGCTGGGATTACAGGCATGTGCCACCATGCCCGGCTAATTTCGTATTTTTAGTAGAGATGGGGTTTCTCCATGTTGGTCAGGCTGGTCTCGAGCTCCCCACCTCAGGTGATCCGCCCACCTCGGCCTCCCAAAGTGCTGGGATTACAGGCATGAGCCACCGCGCCCAGCCTTCTAACATGAATCTCTTTATGGCCATGTTTTTACAGATCCCCAGCCATGCCTTGGGCAGGTAAGGAAAGAATGCTAGCTGAAACGATGGGGAGAATTATGTCTGGCAGTATGGAATTGGGCAAAAATGAATTGGATGCAGGTTTCCCGCAGAACAATCGTGAGACTGTTATGGAATAAGCCTTTGTTCTTTGCAATCAGAGTCCTGGTTTTACACCACCCAGATTGTCTCATTAGGATGTCTTTTTTTCAGGACATCTGTGGTCACTTGTGTGAATGTGACACTGTAGGGTCAAGTGGAGGGCTCAATGAAGAGAGAAGTTAAAGTTCCCCACAGCCCTAGAATGGGACAGTTTGCTGTTGATTATGTAGTTAACTGCTGGTGATCTGTGCTGCTGGTGATCCTGGACTTGAGTTGGTCACAGTCCCCACCTTTGCAATTTTCATCTTATCCATGCACCACCTTTATTAGTATTATTATTATGTTTACTTTAAACAGACTATTTATTTAACCTTCTCCTAAGTAATATTAGCCTTGAAATAATGAGTTTAAAATACTAATTCCATTTTCCTTCAGTGCATATTAAAATAAATACCTAACTACCATAATAAAAAAAGTGTGTGTCACCTAAAATCTGGCAGGGTATGTCCTATACTTTGGGCAACACCATGCTCTCTAATTGCTCTACACTCACTTTCCTGCCAGGGTACTAGGTAATGAGTACACATACAGGATGGGGCAGAGATAGGAGATGGGAAGTGAGGCATCTCTGACCCAGAGTTCTGGGTGTGCTTAAGAAAAAAAAAAAAGAATCTCATAGCAGAGATCCTGTGGTGGTATCTAATTGTGGTTTTATTTTGCATTTCTCTGATGACTAATAACATTGAATACTTTTTAATGTGTTTATTGGCTATCTGTAGATCTTCTTTTGTGAAGCAGCTTTCAAATCTTTTGCCTATTTTTTATTAGATTTTAAAAAATTATTTTGTTGTTGAGTTATAGGAGTTCTTTAACCTACTTATCAGTCCTTTGTCAGATATATGTGTCGTGAATACCTTCTGACAATTTATGGCTTACCTATTTGTTTTCTTAATGGTGTCTTTTGATAACCAAAAGTTTTGATGAAGTCTAATTTATCACTTTTTTCTGTTGTAGTTACTGCTTTCTATGTTCTAAGTAACTTTGCTTACCACCAAGTTATGAAGACATTCTACTCAGTTTCCTTCTAAAAAGCTTAATGACATTAGCGTTTGCATTTAGTCCTGTAATCTATCTTGAATTAGTTTTTGTATGTGGTGTGAGATGGGGGTCAAAGTAGATTTTTTTCCGTATGGCTATTCATTTATTCCAGTGCATCATTTCTTGAAAAGTTTTTTAGATTGTTTTGTTGCCTTTGTGAAAAATCACATAACCATTTAAGTGTAGGTCTATTTCTGGACTCTATTGTACTTTGATTTGTTTGTCTGTCTTCACACCAATATCGCACTGTCTTTATTAGTAGCTTTATAAAGTAAGTTTTGAAGTCAAGTAGTGTAAGTCCTCCAACTTTGTTCTTTTCCAGTATTGCTTTGAATATTCTTGATCCTTTGTAGTTCCATATAAATTTTAGAAGCAGCTTTTCAATTTCTACAAAAAAAATAAATCCTGGGATTATGATTGGGATTACATTGAATCTATACTATAGCTCAATCGAGGGAAAACTGACTCTTAACAATATTGAGTTTTCCAATCTATGAACTTAGCACATCTCTTCACTTATGTATTTTTAAGTTTTTAGTATAGAGGTCTTGTACATATGTTGTTAAATTTATTTCTAAGTATTTTATGTATTTTGATGCTATCATAAATGATATTTTTAATTTGTTGCTAATATATTAACATAATTAGTTTATGTATATTCATCTTGTATCTTGCAACCTTGCTAAACCTTCTTATTAGTCCTAGTGGTTGTTTTATAGACTCCTTAGGATTTCCTACATAAAAAATCATGTCAGCTAAGAATAAAGATAGTTTTACTTCTTTGTTTCTACTCTTTATACCTTTTTCTAACCTTTATGTTCTTTTTCTTAACTTATTACACTGGCTACAACTTCCAGTAAAATGTTGAGTAGAAGTGGTGAGAGTGGACATCCTTGCCTCGTTCTGATCATGGTGACAAATCATTTCATATTTCTCTAGTAAGTATGGTGTTAGCTGTGGGTTTTTCCATACACATCCTTTACTGTGTTGAGGAAATTCCTCCTGTTCCTAGTGTGGTGAATGGTTTTATCAGGAGTGGTTGTTAAATTTTGTCAAGTGCTTTTTCTGCATCCACTGAAATGATTTTATAGTTTTTCTTCTTCATTCCGTTAGTGTGGGGAATTATACTGATTGATTTTTTTGAATATTAAACATAAAAAGCTATAAATTTCCCTCTAAACATTACCTCAGCCTCACCCAATATATTTTTTAACATGGTTTTAACATGTTCATGTAGATTTTTATTTTCCAGGAATGGATTATTTGGCCCATGGATCAATCAGTTGGTAGAATACAGATTGTAGATAGTATAAATGAATGGTTACACCCAAATGTTGGCAATTTGAGACAATTTGTGAAACAGCAGGAATGGCAAAGTCTTTGTTTCATCAGCAACTTCCTAATGGAATTTGTTGACGGAAGTGATTTGATTTTTATCCATTTAGTGATGCTTATATCATGGCAAAGTCCAAGCCATTCACATTTCCCTTCAGGTGTGTTCTAATTCATGATCTTAAATCATGATAGGCTATTTCCTTAAAGTGATGTCATTGTTTCCACCTGGGCAGAGGAAGATGATGAGTGTTGGCGATGGCAGAGGAAGGGGATGGACACAAGTCCAGGAATAAGGAAGGCAAATGTCAGCCAGCACTGTCAGCCACCTCCCTTGTGTGCGGGCACTGGGCTAGATCACCTGCATGTGTTAGGTGTGAGTCCACAGCACTGAGGAGATGGAGGTCTGTAGGAAGTAAATCATCTGCTGCAGGTGACATGAGTAGGGGCAGAAACGAGGCTGGAGCCAGGTCTGCTAGCCCTCAAAGCTGGTGGACTTTTCCCAGGCAGTATCTACCTTTTTTTATCATGCAACATGAGGATATCTACATTTTGGAGTGAGTGTGAGCTTTGAGGATAAAGTTGTAACAGAAGTTTCCAGGATAATCCATTAATTGATACCACCTATCTTATTGATTTAATAATTGAGCCACTGTTATACTTGGCCAGTTGAATATCAAGCTTGGCATTCCATTAGATAGGAAACCTGGTTTTGGAATAAATCAATAATCCCAGGAATTCTTAACAGGAAACATGGTTACCAAATGTAAATGAAACACTAGAGTTATTTATAGGAGTATTGTATTAGATAGTTCTCTAAGTGGGCTGCAAAGCAGCTCTGTGAAGTGAGTCCTATTTTCTCAGTGACTTGCATATTCTAAGATTAAGTGATGTATTCCCAAGGAACAAGTCCTTTGTAAACAGTGGTTAACTTTTGTAAGGAAGGAATATAGAAGATTCTGGACAGTGTCACGGAATAAAACTATTAAGAGCACAGATTCTAGCACCATACTACTTGAATCCTGGCTCCATCACTTGCTTGTTTTGGGATCTTAAGCTGGTGACTTACCCACTTTTTACCTCAGCTTCTTATCTGTAAAATAAGGATAATAATATTGTATGTACTTATGACAGTCATTGTAAGGATTAATGAATTAGTATGTAAAGTACTTAACACAAAGCCTGTTGCATAGTCAACTCTCAATAAATATTAACTGTTATTATTGCTATGGTTACTGATATTTGTATTGCTTTAATTATGACATTTATTTCTTAATTTTTGGCAGAATTTCCTTGCTTGTTTTAGCTTGCCGTAAGATTAGGTATTTCCCTCTCTCTCCTTGTGTCTGAGGTAGGGTTCTTTCAGAGTTTTGCTGTTTGTCACAGTGTCTAACTACTCTGTGTTCAGCTGGCCTCCCTAGGGTTGCTCTTAAGAATCAATATCTCTTATTAACAAATACGATGCTCCCAGCCACTCCTTTCCTGGGAGCATCTCCACGTTCAAAGCCAGGTTGCACAGTGCCTGGACAGCAGCAGGATGTGTGTTGGTTCCCTCCTGGGATGCCGCCTTCCCCAGGGCATGGTAAGTGTGCTGAGCAGTCTGTGCGTCAGTGAGACCCTCCCGAGCTCAGTGAGACCCTCCCAAGTTGGTGCTTCACTGAGACCCACCCAGCCATTTTTGCCTGATCAAGTGACAGAATGGTTCAAAACTGAATTATAAAAGACTTATTTACCTGGATGATAATACAAAAGAAAGGAGCCCAATTGTTACACTTCCCCATTAGGTACTTTTGTCTGCTGCGTGACGGGCTTCCCTAGAAGAGTTGTTCAAACTGAAGTTGTGAAGTTGTAGGTTATAAGGCAGATTTGATTCACTGTTTACTAATTCTGTGTGACTTGATATAAGGTTGGTGCTCAAAAAGTTGAAGGAATTTTAACTAGTTGAAGGAACTAGTTAAAATTAATTAAAGTGAGGATAGGCACCCTTCCTTCATTCAGTTATCCCCTTGTTTAATCATTTATTGATTGGTTCATTTGTATGCTCACTCATCTGGTCACCTGAACATTATTGGACCCCTCCTCTGGGCCATGTAGGCCCTGTGTGGAGCTCAGGGACTCAGATGTATCTGGGAAGACCCCTGCCCAGTCTACTGAGGAGACAAACACAGAAGCCCCCTTTTCAGTGCCTCTGAGCAGTGCAGAGATGGAGGGAGGGAAAGAGGGTGCCAAGTTGAGCCTAATGAGGGGAAGAGCAAGGCTGGACTCCTGCTGCGGGGGTGCCCTTGAGGAAGAGTCCCAGGGTGATGAGGGTGAGGGTGTGTTCCCTCCCACAATTAATGCCATCACAGTGAGATCTGCCTAATAATAGGATCTCCAGACCCCAGCAAATTGTCTGCTGATCTCAGGCAATGTTTGTCTGTAAGAATCCTTCGCCCTGTGTAAACATTTTATTAGACCATTAAGTTGCCGTCAGCCTCTCCCACATTTACTAATGCCTGAGCAGGCTGAGCATAGGCTTCCATTTTTATGAAAACTCTTGCTTTTCCAGAGGCTTATTCTTTGACCTAATTTATCTTGAATCCTCATCCCACAGATCTGGCTTGCTTTGTGTGACTGGGATAGTTGTCTGAAAGGGAGGGCTTTCCTGGAGCTGAGAGATGGGCTAGATAACTTCAGGAGGCCCTGGCCTGCTAAGGAATTCTTTAGTGCATTACAATTATATGCCTTTAAAAAACTATTCTTGTAAAGAATTATTGACAGTACAGCATTTTGGGAGTGGGGTGTGCCAAGTGTAGCAACCCATTTGGAACATGTCTGTGTCCTCCTTTTTCAAGTTAAAATAACGACTCTTTAAGTATTTTACAATGCAATGTAATGTTGATTTCAGAATCTGCTAAGATGTAGGGGATAAATGCAGTCCACAAATCATGCTGGTATTTCATTTTATATCCTATGTTCTTGTAAGGGACATGGAACTGAGAATGATGGTGGGTGTGTGGAGCAGGATTGTGTGAGGCACAATCTGGAACACCTTTCTGGGAAGAGACTGTCCAGAGAGCTTAGATCCATCTGCCCTGGGCAAAATCTGGTAATATTTATAAACAACCCTGTGTTAGAATTCTCCTAGGCCTCCAGGAAGAGGCAGGAGCTCCTCTTTGTGCTTGGCTTGCTTGGAGGCATTTGACCAATCATTAACCTCCCAAAATTACCCTTGTTTTTATCAGGCGCGTTTTGAACTTGAATCTAGGCATTAGAGGAAGGGGTGTTGGGAAAGGTTCCATCTCTGCTGTGGGATTAACTTGGCTTGGAGCAAGCCAGTCACTTCTGTCTGTGTGAGCACAGAACACAAATCTGTTTTGAAAACTGGACCTACCTGAAGGAAAGATGATGAGAATAGGACATATAAACAGCTGTATAAAACACAGCTGCTGGCAGTAGTTTCTCTTAGTGGCCATGGATCTGTGTGAAGAGGTGAAAACCTTTTGATATGAGAGAAAGAGGGTAGATATAATAATCACCTTTATGATTTGCTTATTAACGTTGGTTGCTCAACATATTATTTCGATCCTCATAGTGACCTGTAAGGTAGGTGGGCTCCTCTCTGTCTAACAGATGAGGATGCTGAGACACAGACAGTGCAGAGCTGGGTTGGGGACTTCACTTTACTTCTGCTGCCCTGCCGACTTCTCACGGCTGGCCCGGAGACAGAATAAGCCCAGGTGTAGAAGGGAGCAGCTGGAGTTGTAGGAAGAGCAGTGGGTGGACAGCCAGGAGTCCGCACCAAACACAGGCTCACTCTCCAGACCCAGACTGGCCCGTGCAGCACTTCTGCCTGCAGCTGAGGGGGCCCCTTAAGAGCCCTAGTTCAAGAAAATTGCATCTTTGGATATCAGAGTGAAGAAGAGTACTTCTACTGCTATAATTCAGGGCTTCTTGCTTAATTCTGAACCATCTAACCTAGCTCAATTTGAGTAAGAGTCTTATAAAACAGTATTTAAAGATGGCCAGCCCTCCCTTCCTGCTCCCCTCTCTCCCTCTATTTCCCTTCTTCCTTCTCTCTCTTCCTCCCTCCATCTCTCTCTTTCCCTCCCCCCTCCCTCCATTTTCTTCCCTCCATCTTCCTGACTCCTTGCTTTCAATTGTCTGGCTTCAGTTTCCCTTGGCTCTGTGAGAGCAGGTCTCTGGAGTGTGTTGCCCATCTTGTGGCTCCCCTAGGAGGTTATGTTAACTGTGAACTATGAAGAGGAGCCACATTGTTTGTTTTTTAACACCCACTCGATTATAAATTGCCAGGGAGGCTTGGACTCTTGGGTCGCTAAGGTGAGGATCCAATTTTGAGATCTGCAAAATTGGGTCAAAATCTCATTGCATCTTTAAGCCTTTCCCCTCTCCCACAGACACATTGCATACACACACACACACACACACACACACACACACACACACGCTTAACAAGATAAGGATAACGTAAACTAGACCTTTCTTTTGACTTAATGTTTTTGTTCCATGTTGGCATTCAAAGCAGGAACACAGGGTGCTATCTGACAAAGCTTTTCTTCTTTGCTGTTCAGAATTTCCATTTGGAGTTTACTAAGCCAGGACTGATAATGGGTAGACAGCTCAGTAAAATTCTAGATGAGAAGATCTCTGTTAATAATCACGGACCCCTGAGAATTTCTGAAAGGTTCTAGAGAGAGTTTCGACATTCATCTGGCTGCCAAATGAACTTCTGGTCTGACTTCAGGGCTTATTGTCTGTGGCACCCCCAGATTTCAGTTCTGACAGGGGGTGCTAGGCTGTTGGTAGCATCAGAATTACCTGGGAAGGTTGCCTACCTGCCTGTTTCTTTTTTTCCTTTGGTAAATGCCAGATTTCTTGTCCCCACTGTTGGGAAATTTTCTGTCCCGGGAGTCTGGATCAGTACTGCTACGGAAACTACAGGAAGTTGGATTTTGGCTCAATCCAGATAAGGAAGTGATTTAAAATGGAGCAGCCCACATAGTGTGGGGCTGCCTCAAGTTTCCAGCACAGGCTGGTCTCTGCCTCTAAGTGGCGGATGGTTGGACGGGAAGCCTCTTTGGTCCTGTTAGCACACTAAGAGTTTTTTGTTGCGGATTTCACTCTAACAGGCACCCAAGTTACTTGACCTCTATTGACCTGCGCTTCTTTTTCTCCCTTCTGTCCGTGATGTCATAGATATTGGATGATGACTGTAAGTTAGGCTCAGGAAAAATGACCAAATTGTTCTGCTTTTATGGGGCTCATAGTCTAGAGGGAGAGACTTGAAACTGTAGACAAACTCTATCTAGTGAGTGCTGGAGGGAGTCACACCTTCAACCTGAAGAATGTTCAGGTGTAGTGTTAGTGCCCAAGGCAATCTGTTGCCAGAATTGACCTTGAAAATTCCTTGGGAAGGGGCTGTGTTGAAGATGAATGCCTTGCTCCTCAGTGAGCTCCACATAGGGCCAGTGTTTCCTCTGGCATTGAGTGGATTGCTATGTCTGAGGTGGGGCCTAGCTGAAGCAGTTGGTTGATGTTTAGGAGCTATGTTTTATGAAAAATCTCTATCAGATGTTAGAGTCACAGCTCACCCAGTGAGATGGCCACATTGGGAGGGGCCTGTGAGAACTGCGACAATTCAGGGGTCACTTTGGCACATCGGCTTATTAAATGGAGTTTTGGGCAAAAGCTCCTGCACTACTTCTCACTGAATGCTTACCTTTGAATTCCCATGAATTAAACCATACGTTGTGAATTCACAGTCTTATAGGAGCATAGATGAGAGAGAACAACTGATTCTATGTGGGGAGGGAGGAAAGACTTCTCAAAGAAATGACATTTGAGTGAGTTCTTGAAGGATAAGTTCAGAGTAGAATTTGATCAGATCAGGGGAAAGGAGAACATTCTAGGCCAGCGTTTCCCAAAGCATACTTTGTAGAACATGTGTTCCATGGCATGTTAATGTGGGGAAAGAAGAGAACCCATTAGTTGAGAGATGCTGGTTAAACTCAGTTCAGCAATTGCTCTCACCCCTTAAAGAACTTCTCAGAGCCTTTCATCCTTAATACACTTCGGTGTATCGTGAATCTTAAAGAGTGAGGTACAGTGTTTGTACTAGGTGAGACTTTTCTTGGAAACCTGGTTTAGGCAAGGTAGACAGCTCCTGCAGAGGCATGAAGCTTTGAAAGACCATGGCTAATTCAGGAAATGGTGGGTTTGTGTGTCTGAGTAGAGGGGGAGTGTAGGAGGGGAAGACAGTGAAGAGATGTGGGGAACTTGGATGGTATGGGCCAGCTTCTGGGAGAACTCCTTTGGGTGCTAGGTAAGGCTAGGCGCCAGTCTTACTCAAACTACAGTCATTTTAGAACCATCTTCACATCTCTCTTACAGGCTCAATGCCATATATATTCTGATTTAATATATTTTTATAATCCAATTTTTAAATTGTAGATAATCATAAGGAAATTTTGCATCACTAAGGCAAGTGAAAAACCAGTAGCCTTTGCAAAAGTAGAATAAACACACGTATGTACACAAGTACACATATATACACGCACACATGCTGAAAACCAAACAGTTGTCAAATTCTAGCTACAAACTATGAACTTGAGCTATGATTCGCTTTTGTTATAAAGGGAGATTTGGGTATTTTAGAGAGGTAATAAGTAGATTATGTCCCCAGTTGAGACTTGCTCATCGTTCAATCAAAGAAATGGACAGATAACCAAAATGTTAATAATTTTCTTACAATATAATGCCAGATCTGTGTGCCATCAAAAATATCTCCCACTTTGGGAAACTTTGCTCTGGGCAGTGGGGAACCACTGAAGGCTTGTAAACAGGAGCACCTTTCTTTGCTTTAGAAAGCCAGTTTGTGTACTTTTATGGATGGTGGTGGTTCCGAATGGGTAAGACTGGAGGCAGGAAATCCATTGTTTAAGAAAAAAAGAAGCCCAGGGGAGAAATGCAGAGGTCTGGGCTTTGGGGCTATGCCCATAGAATGGTAGGAGAAACTGTTTCGTTATTTAGTAGAGAGAATGGCAGGACTGGGGGACAAACAGAGAAGGGGGTCCCAGAAATGACTTGGCTTGGTCTCCTGGAGAGGTCATAGCAGCTCAGACTGAGGTTGGTAGTTGGCAGAGAGGCAGATTGAGTAGTTGGCAGAGAGGCACGCTGACTTGAGGCTTCTGCAGGAAGTCAGTATGTAGGTGTCCAGGGGAGTAAGGGATTATGTGTATGTAACTCCAGATCTCTGGTGGGTGGAAAGAGAACTGATTTTAGAGCCAGGTAAATCTGTGCATGACCCATGGCTTCACCCCTCACATCTAGGATCTTGGTTTCCTTTTTCGACGGTGAAAAATTGTAAACCCCAACCTTAAGGATGATTGGGAAGGTTACTAGTGGTAGAGTGCTTGGGATAACTGTGGCACAGGGCAGAGCCCAGAGTCAGCAATGTTTATTTTAAGTTCCTTCTAGCTTCCCAATTACATCTCTGAATTTTTTGGAGAAAGCTAGCCTCAGATTCAGCCAATTCCTACGGATTTCCCCTGGAATGAAAGAAGCCTTGATTCACACGTGTCATGACATTGAGCATTCTTGTGTTTGGTGGGAATTTTGGTATAGAAAATGCTGATTGCTGACCTTTTATCTTCTGCAGAAGAGCTCCTTCTGTCAGGGTTCAGAGACTTAGGCATCAGGCCAGCTGGGCATCACTGGCATTTTTTCCTGCCCATTTCTGTCTGCTTTCTAGGCAGCAGAAATGAAAATGTCCTGCCAATCTGTTAGACTGACTTCGCCAACTGCCAAATGGCCTTGAAAGGAGTAGTGGGAAAGCCAGAGCTTGGTGGTCAGACATCCTCTGTCGCTTACTGGCTGTTTAAGCCTGGACAGTGGCATGTCCTTAAGTCTCTATGTTGTCATTTGCAAAACAGGGTTAATAATATCCATTTTGCAGAGTGTTTTGGAGGACTAGAGATCATAGAGAGCTGTCTTAGCCCAAGGTATACTATATGCTTAAAATATGGGTGCTATTGCCCTTAGTTGTTGTGTGTTAACCTCCTCTCACCTCTACAGAAATGTAGGAAGGCTATTTATTATTATTTTATTTATTTTAGAGACAGGGTCTTGCTCTGTTGTCCAGGCTGGAGTGTAGTGGCATGATCACAGCTCCTTGAAGCCTTGAACTCCTGGGTTCAAGGAATCCTCCCAACTCAGCCTCTTGAGTGGCTGGGACTACAGGTGTGAGCCACACCACCAAGCTCTAGGAAGGCTGTTATGAATATGAGGTATCTAGAGATAACATACTGTTACTTGACAATACAACATGTAAAAATTTAGACTGACCAAAAGAGAAATACATATACTTCTTTTTTTTTTTTCTGGAGACAGAGTCTTGCTCTGTGATCTCAGTACAGTGGTGTGATCTCGGCTCACTGCAACCTCTGCCTCCCTGGTTCAAGTGATTCCCATGCCTCAGCCCCCCAAGTAGCTGGGACTACAGGTGCATGCCACTGTGCCCAGCTAATTTTTGTATTTTTTGTAGAGACTGGGTTTCACCATATTGCCTAGGATGGTCTCAAACTCCTGAGTTCAGGCAATTTGCCTGCCTCAGCCTCCCAACATGCTAGGATTACAGGCGTGAGCCACCACACCTGGCAAGAAATACATATACTTCTTTTCTTTTTCTTTTCTTTTTTTTTTTTTTTTTTTTTTTTTTTTTGAGACAGAGTCTTGCTGTGTTGCACAGGCTGGAGTGCAGTGGCATGATCTTGGCTCACTGTAAGCTCCGCCTCCCGGGTTCATGCCATTCTCCTGCCTCAGCCTCCTCAGTGGCTGGGACTACAGGTGCCCGCCACCAAGCCCGACTACTTTTTTTTGTATTTTTAGTAGAGACAAGGTTTCACCATGTTAGCCAGGATAGTCTCGATCTCCTGACCTCATGATCTGCCTGCCTCGGCCTCCCAAAGTGCTGGCATTACAGGCGTGAGCCACTGCGCCCAGCCAGAAATACATACACTTCTTAACACTCACAGAATGTTGGTGTGAAATGGGAGTTTGGAAACGTCTATGATTTCTTTGGAGGCTGTGGGAGCCCCTGGGAGGCTGGGGAGCTGCCCCAGCTCATATCTGGACAGGGGCTGACCCTCATCAGAGGTGTTCCTGCCACTACCTTTAGTACCAGAGTGAACTTCATGTGTTGCTCCTTAGAGACCAGCCACCATGCTTCTGCTGGCCTGTAAGCCTCTGGGCCTCTGCTTCACAGAAGTGCTCTGGTCTGGAAGGGCCCCAGAGGGCTCTTGTTGGACTCAGAGCCCTGCTTTTGATCTTCACCTCAGGAAGGCTGCTGGTACCTCTCCCTGATATTGAGTGCATAAAGTAATGGAGTGAGGGCCACCCAGGAAAAGGATTTAAAACCGAATGAGCAGTCACATCCTAAGAACATTTGTTAAAAGCCCTATGTCGACATGGAGAAGATCTGGTTTAGAAACAGGGCTTTTGCTTTGGCCTTCTGTTCAATGTTTTTAAAAATGGCATTCGAGAGGAGTAAAAGCATGTTTGGAGGTATAGTTTCTACCCTCTTTGAGACAGCAGAATCAAAATTCAGATAGTCTCTGTGGGCTTGGACAGTGAGCCAAAGCCAACATGATGAAATGAAGCAAGCATAAACAGGACGAGTGTTGCGAGTTCAAGCCGGCCACCAGCCTCCCCAGGCAGTGATGGGCTGGCGCTGCCACATCAGCCAGCTCCTTCCAGGGCTGCCTTCCTGGGAGCATGGCAGCCACATCCCGGGGAGCAGCAGTCCTCTGCTAGCACACATCTGCAGCGCCAGCTTCCATCCTTGGTCTCATGTTTTAATAGCAAATCTGACAAATTCTCATTGACCCTCAGTGGGGGTTGGCTGCCCACCACACCTTCTGCATTGCCTCATGGGTGGTATTTCTCCCAAGGAAAGCCTTGGCTAGGGTGAGTGGGAGGGAGAGCAAGGACGCTAGGTCCGAGACCTGGGTTGTGGCAGTTGCTGCATTACTTATAGGCTGTGTGGCCTGGGCAAACCTTTCGTCTTCCGGATCTTAGGCTCCTCACCTGGAACATGGGATTGATGATACCCCTGGTTGGTGATACCAGGTGAAGGGTCTGGGGAGCCTTAGCTGTGACGGGAAGAAAGTGCTTGGCATGTCCTTGGCATGTAGTTGGCGTAGTAGAAAATGCAGTCTAGCTGATTTGGAGGGTGTGGGTAAGCTGCTTAATCTCTATGAGCCTGTTTTCTTGTCTGTACCTGAAGAATTGACACTTCAGATACCTGGCCCAGTGCCATTCAAGACATGGTAGAGGTCACAGGCATGTAGGTCCTGAACGATCCAGAGGAAGAAGGGGCTCTGTAGCCCAGGAACTGCCTTACACAGTGCCAGGGCCCTTGGGGATGCTGAGCTCCTGCTTGTGGGGGAGTCAGGTGAAGCTGGGCAGGACCCAGCAGGGTTGAGGTCATGTCTCACGGGGAGTGCCGGGCCACGTGAGGGAAGACCAGTGGACAGGCACATTAAGTTTTAAACTCACATACTTACTTTAATGTACGTTAGAAAAAAATCAAATAAGTAGTACATCAAATCTGTACTTTTTATGGAAGTTTTTGCTTTCTTTTTGGTTTTATAGTTTTAGTATTTAAAAAAAGTCAATTTAAAGGAAAATATTAAGTAAGTAATAAACCAGGCAAGACTCTCCAAGAATGTCAAAGTCACAAAAGAACTAACCTCCCTGCCCCAACCTCAGCCAAGTAAAGAGCAGGTGATGCTTCTAGATTAAAGGAAACTAAAGACAACAAATCTGGAAGATATAAAGAACACCTCTGAAAGACATAATGGGGACAATTGGGAGAAATTTGAATATAGGCAATAGATTAAGTAATATTATGGTATAAGTCAGTGTTAAATTTCTTGGGTAGGGGAATCTCCTAATTCTTAGAAGACAGATGGTAAGGGCTCCAGTGTCATTGTAACTGTAACCTGCTTTAAAATGGTTTGGGAATCCTTTTTATATATCAGCATTATATATATTCACATATATGTATATGGAAAGAGAACGAGAACATGCAGGAATGCACACAAATGTAGCATACTGCTAACAGCTGGCAGCAGTGAGGCGAGGGCTGTGCTGTGTTCAGTATTCTGTTCTTTCAGCTAATTTTGTAATGGTGGCCCAGGAATGATGAACATTTGAGAACCATTGTGCTGTGGGACTTTCCTTCAGGTCCTTTTGAAGTCCTTGCTGACTTTTCATTTCTGGAACATATCTTTAATTTTGTATTATAATTTGATAAGAAAAATTTTTGACCTAAGAAAAATCATTCAGTGACACATACTAATATAATGTAACTTGGTTAGAAAATATGATATGAGATCAAAAAATTCAGTTTTCTTAGTTATATAAAATGAGGTGGCTAAATTGAAATTTTTGTCTCAATGAGGCAGAAATCATTGAGTAACCATTTGTGGCCACCAGTTAAGATATGTATTCAATAGAAAATGACCTAGTACAGGCCCAGAGGCCATCAGTTAACACTAGAATATTAATGATGTATGATAGGATTATAGAATTACCTGGGATCTCTTCATTTCCCGGAGGGAAACTGGAAATTATCTTGCTCTGTGCCACCTGAAAGCTATAAGGAAGGCTCTTTGAAGATGGTGGTGGGCAGCACTTACAGCTGCGATCTGGTGTTCCTCTGGGTGCACTGATACCAGTGAATGATTTTCCTGAGGAGGAGGAGGTAACAGCAAAATCATGTAACATCAGAAACCTTTGTTGAAGATGGATGTGGGAAAGTTGAGGTGGCTGGTGAGGAGTTGAATTAGAAGACATAGTATTTCATTATTGTGGTTGTAATAATGTTGGTGAGATTATACACCAATATCCAGCCCTGAAGTGTAGTCTCTTCACCTCCTTGCCTTTCTGCCATGTTAATAGTACCTGGACCACACATTTGGGATCTCAATTATATTATGGCTCTCAGCAACCCTAATTGGTTCATGGATATATGTCTTATTTGAAGGTGATTGCATGCACTTGAATGTTAGGGGGTGAAGCTCCTTTTGTGTCTCTCTGCCTGCATTTAAGATGAGATTGAGCACACAGAGGCAACATGGCCTTCCCTGGGGGAAGGAACCTGGGTCTGAATTCAGAGGACTTGGGTTAGGATCCTGGCTCCACTCCCTAGTGTCTATGTGACTTTGGATAAAATGATGATGATTATGACGGTGATGGCAGAAGTTAACTACTTCATAGGATCCTGTCTGTGAAGTAAGGGTAGTCATAGTGCACCTTGGACAGCGTTGATGGATCAGATGAGATGATGCACATGAGTAGTCAGTTCACTGGCATGGAACATGCTATAAAGCTATTAAAATAATGATGCTTGAGTTGAACTGCATTGTTAAAACATGGGCTAATACACTGTATTAGTCTATAATCTGTGGTTATAAAGGACAAAAATCCACCCCAAACTGATTCTTAAAACCAGGAAGTTTGTGAGGACTAGCTTTAAGCACAGCTGGATCCAGGGCCTCAAATAATGTTGTTAGGACACTGCCCCATTTTCCAGATTGCTTACCTCATGCTGGCTTAATTCTTAGGCCACCCGGCTCCTGTGAGATTGCAGAGCTGCCATCCATTCTGCTTGCTTTCTGCCAAGTTTGCCCCTCTCACAGAAAGAGATATTTCCTAGTTCAGCAAAAAGCACAGGAGAGACTGAGTGGCCAGCTCTAGGTCCCACGCCTATCCCTGGAGCTGGGACCAGAGTTCCTACTGTCTAAACATTAGGGACTGAGAAGGGGAGAGAGGCGATCCTAAAGGGAAAGAGACCCTGTGCCAGTGGAGTGCTAGGTCTCCATAACAATGGGGATGCATAGTTCTTGCATGGGTTTCCAAATCTCTCAGAGGAGGAGAATTTCTCATACATCACACAGCCCAGCAGATCCACCAGTCTTCATTTCAAACCAAGCATTCTGCTATTTTTCTTGCTCAGGAAACTGTTGATAAAAACTGTCCCATTTAGTTGAAACACTGCAAAAGTTATACAGAAAAATAAACAAATTGAGACTCGGGCCAGTTGTGGGATGGAGGAACATCAAAGCTTGGCCAGTCACCAAGCTCATTTTCCACTGCGGGGTGGTTTCATGTCCACTAACCAGTCTGCAGATCTGGAGCTGCAGTTTAGGCTTGATTGGTTGTAGAAGCCGAAACTAGCTCAAGGTGGCTCTAGTAAAAGGATTTGTTGGGAGCAGCAGAGCTGTGCCTGGGCTGGGCATGCTAAGCCCAAGTTGGAGCAGGTGGCTCTCCATACCAGACAGCCACAGTGATGTCCCTGCTAGGCCTTCCACCTGCCTCAGCCACGTTACCTGCCCACCCACCTGCCCCTCTGCCCCTCGACCAGCCCACTCACGCCTGTACTGTCCTCTGATGGCTGGCCGTACATGGGGTCTCTGTCACACCCTTAGCCTCAGTGCCCAGCTCACTGGCCCTGTTTCCCAGTGAATTGCTTGCAAGAGCCTCAGGGGAGCCCTGTTGGCCCTGCTCACAGAGGTCACATGACATTGGTCAGTTTCTGACTAGAGCACTCTTGGGACAGATCTCCGTGTGGTCCCCATAGTTGTGACTGATTGAAGGCAGTGGGCTATAGGTAGGACAGAATACTTTGGGAAGGGATGCAGGCAGGGACAGTCTTTGTTCCCTGGCTTTGGCAGTGATCCTGAAAACTTTTCAGATACTTGACCTCATAGATGGAGACTCTGGCTGCCTGGGCTGGACACGTACATATGTAGCTCAAGTATTCATATGTTAGTATTATAGTAGATAATAATTTTTATTATAAGTATTTATATTTATCATGAAGTACATTTTCTTATCCCAATTTTGGAAAATAACATAGAAAGAAGAAAATAAAAGTTACCCTTTAATCTCACCTCTGTAGATGCTAGTGATGAGAGCTGATAGCTTTTGCTTTGTGTGTCACCATTCTAAGGGCCTTCTATGCATACTTGTTGATCCTTACAGCAATAGGGCGAGATAGGATGGAGAGTAATGTAATCCTCATCCCTCACTGTGGGACAGAGGTAAGGTCTGTGGTGGTAGTGGTGGGGAGGGATGAAGGGACACCTAGCCTACATGGGGCTGCCATAAAGCCCTGGTTCAGTGTCACCCAAGGGTCCACCATGTGCTCACTGGTGGACATCCCAGGGTGAAATGGGGTTGGGTAGTAGTGGTGTCCTGTTCATTCACCTTAGGCTGCCATAGCAGAACCAAAGACAGGAAAGACAGGATCCTGCCTCCCTCAATCTCCCAGCAGAAGGGCTTAAGGACCCGTGACCCTTTAATGTGTTCACGTGCACCTTGGCCATTGGTTTGGCTCTCAGGACCCTAGGCCTAGACCCTCTGGGCCTGCTCCCTTCCCCAGGGCCTGCCTGAACATGTTCAAATTAATTTGACATGTTTGAATTAAAGGAATACACGAGCACCTGGGGCATAGCACCAGCCCCCCCTGGTCCCCCACTGCCCATGTATATAACTTGCCTTGGCTGTGGTCTTCTTTTCCACACTTGCTGTGATTATTGTCCTGGGGACAGTCCTCAGGGGAAACCTCAGCATCATGGGGAGTAGGGAGGTGTGAGTCATGAGAAAGAGTCAAATATTAATTAGGGAACATCTTCTATATTTCAGGGTTTGTGCCTGGAACTATGCGAACATTTTTCCACTTGGCTGCACAACTCTTTCAGGTACATTTCATCATCCTAGCTTTATAGAAGAGGAAACAGGCTCAGGGGGTTAAGGGGTTTGCTCAAGGCCACACAGCAGGTCAGTGGAGAGTGTGTGTTGGAATCCAAGTAAATGGGTAAAGACCAAGAGACCACAGTGGATACATGTTTCTTTTCTTGGTTTTTCAAGTCCCCTTTTAAGGGGCTTTTTAACTAGCAGTGAGAGTACACAGAGGTGCTCTCCAAAGGGTTATACTCTTTGTGATTTAAGTAAGTGAAGTGAATAAGGGGAAAAATGAAAGAAAAAAGAGACAAACCACAACAAGTTTCATGTATAGGCCTCTTCAGTTGGCTCTGGCCCCTTCACAGACATAGACTGTAAGAACTACTCCGGAAACAGCTGGTAACAGGACACCGTACTTTCAGCCTTTCTTTCTTCATTGTTGCCAGAAAATAATCAGCTCTATATCTTAAGTGCTTGATAGAGTGGCCAGACACCAGCTGTAACTTAAAACAATTTTTGTCTTAGTTGCTTTAAGCAAACAGATGCGGCTAGCTTTCTGGGCCAAGCGCAGTGTCCATGTCTTAGAGTGGACTACTCAAGCTGCTCAACCGTCTTGATTTATGTTTAATTCTTGCTTTAGATGTGTCCATTCAGACATTCCTTTGGTATGTTTCCAGAGGCTTGGGTTTGGGGTTTGAAGGAGTGATTCCGGACTGGCCGTTGGTTTGCTTGTTCATTGTTTCGGCACTTAAGTGTGCTGCGTGTGTCAGGAGCAGGGACTCAGCCCTCCTGGAGCTGACGGGCTAGTAAAGAAGCTGGACAAGCAAGTGAATAAGAACAGAGCCTCCCCTACCCCAAAGGCAACCATTTGCAACTCTTAGCTTATTATTTTTATATAATCTTTACACCATGTTTATTGTGCTACTTTTTGTTTGGCTTTAGACATTATCTGTAGACTTCCTGCTAAGGAACATAAGAATTCTTCTCTTTCTTATGTCCTCCTTCAGTTAGGCATTCCCTCAGAACTTTCAGCACATGGTGGGGCACTGTGCTCTGTACATAATGTCCAGCGCCTGCCGTCAGGAAGCTCACGGTGCAGTGGGGAGATGGACCTTGGAAGAGACCACGAGAGGAGGCTATGCCGAGGCCTGAGCAGAGGAGTGGACGTTCTGTGCTGGATGCCTCTGCTCGGACTTTGCCTCCCTCTATGGCTGAGCGGACTCATTCAGGCAGTGTGCTTTGGTGCAGTGGTACCATTTCCCCAGTGCTATCCTGGCCCCAGCCACCTCATCTCCCATTGGAGTGATGGCAGCAACTGCCCTCTGGCCTCCCTGTTGCCATTCTGTCCTTTGATATACATTGTCCACACAGCACAGAGTGACCTTTTGAAACATCCATCAGGGTTATATCACTCCCCCACTTGAAAAACTGCCCTTGGCCTTCTGTTAACAGTAAAATACAATCCTGACTCCATACTGCAGCCTTCAAGGCTCCTGGTGACCCAGCCCACTCCTGTCACCCCCATTTGGCTTGCTGTCTGCAGCCACTTGGGTCTTCCTTCTCCCCCTCAGACCTGCTCCTCACTTGGGCCTTCTCCTTGCTGTTTCCCCATCCCTTTTATCTTCCAAGGGAACCTTCTTGACTACCCTTTTTAGAATAATATCCTCATCACCTCCCACCACTTTATCCCATAATCCTGTTTTATTTTCTGTGCAGCTTTTATCTCTCTGTACAAGCTATGCAGAAAATATTTATTCATTATTTGTATCTCACACTAGAATGTAAACTCCATGAGGACAGGGACCTTATTTGTTTTGTTAAATGGCTGCATTCCCTTAGCATAGTGCTTGGCATGTAATAGACACTAGAAAAAAAAAAAAGAAAAAAACTCTTGGCTAAATGAATATCGAAAGAGTGCCCATCTAGTGTGTCCCTGGGACCCAGTGCTACCCTACTGTTTGAAGTCATTAGTGAAAAAAATTATCCCTTTTATACTTAGAGCTGTGTCCAAGGAATACAGTATTGTTCCTAAATATCATGCATGAGCAGAAAGAATGAATAGCAGTAATAAAAATGGTAAACTCTTTGCATTTGCGGTGGCAGCTCTGTTCTCTGCACTTTAATACAGTAACAGATATTTCTGACCACAACTCCATGTGGTAGCACTACAAATCTAGTCCTAGTTATAGGATTACAACTCCTGGAGATGAGGGAACTGAAGGACAGAGAGAGTGAGTAACTTAACAAAGTCATTAGCTTTATAAGTGGTGGAGCAGAGACTTGAACCCAGTCATTCTGGCTCCAGAGTCTGTGCTCCCAAGCAAAGGTGCCTGAGTTCCTTTCAGGAAATATCTTTGGAGTTAAATGAATTGAACACTTTGCTTCTCTAGAGGTGGAACCAGGAATAATCTCAATTACTCCCACTCTTGAGTGCTCCGTCATGGTGTTTATGTGGCTGTTCATTGTGGACAGTGCCATCACTGATACCAAAGCCCCAGCACACGTAGAGACCATAAGGTGTCTTTACTGTCAAATGATGGGGCTTCACAGAGAGAGTCACAGGAAACAAGAGACAACAACAACATACTCTCAGAGGTGCGGCTGGCCTGCTTCCCCCCATTCCCTGGTGAAGTATGGCTATGGATGCTACCCGCCATGCAGTCTGAGGATTCCTCCACATGCAAGAAGCCTCCTGTGCCAGTCCCATAGAGATGTTATGCCCTTCTGCTCCCCACTTCTAACTCACTGTTCTAAGGCCCTGACTATGTGCCTGCCTGAGGGAACCAGTACAGAATGATGCCAGCCTGTCCCTGAATGTGTGCTGTCAGATCAGGCGAGAAAGGGCCAACCTCCCGGGAGTATCCTGCAACAGACCCGGCTTCAAGCCTGTGTTTCCTCTTCAGTGCTGTATGTGCATTGCTGCCAGTTCTTATGCTATCCCTGTGGCTGGGCGGTGGGACAGATGAGTAGCCCCAGATGGCACAGCTGGCAGTGCCAGGGTTCAAGTCCAAGTCTTTTTGATATGGAGTCTACAACACAACTCTGTTTATATTTCTCTGTTCACCAAAGTGAATTCTCGTTACTCTCAGTACATTTGGTTTCCATCAGTGTTTTGAGTGCTGAAAATAACATGATAGTGCATGTCCCTCACAGGAGAACTTCAGAAACATCACAGGTGTGCCACACTTGCACCTTGCAATTTACCATGTTTTTTCAGACTTCCAGTTAACATGGTGGGCCATGCTGCTGCTGGAAGCCTTGTGTCCCAAACACATTGAAATGCTGGATAAAGTGAGGAAACACTAAGAGAAGAAAAAATATGCAGCCAGGTGGAGAAGCAAGAAAGGAGCATCTTCAAGAGCTAGACTAGAAAAGGAGGTCAAATTCTCAGCAGGGAATATGAATGGAAGCCAGTTAGTTCCAGGGGTATACAGATTGGAGATGTGAGGTTCACCTGGTAAATTAAGAAAAAAGACAAGAAGTTGCCTGTAACTGGTGGAGATTAAATTGCTTGCTTTGCGAGGTGAGCTGAGAAAGTTTCCTTCACCCAGGAGAGGACAGAATTCCTGAGATTGCATGGATTCAGATGCAGGCCTCATATCTTCATCACTGGTGCTAATGGAAATCCTCAGCCAAGAAATTAACATAGAAACTGGTGACTCCTTATGGCCCTGGGCTGCCGTAGCCCCTGATCTCCCTATGGGGGTGCCTTTACAGTTGCACACATGTGCAAGCCCCCACAGAAAACAACGTTTGCTGAAGAGGAGTTTACAGACAAAATTACATGGCATACAGGAAAAATTACCACCATGAGAAAGAGAATCTATGGATTCTCAAGTGGGAAAACTCAGATCCTGGAAACTAGAAACCATAAAACAATCTGAAAGAGAATTTAAAATAAGAATATTTGAAATGTAAATAAAGGAATAGAAATTATAGCAAGATTAGGACATTATGAAAAAAGGGTAGATAAATTTGAAAACAAACCAAAAAGAAATTCTAAGTATTAAAAATGTATTAAAAATGCAGTCATTGCCATGTGCTTTCAGATTAATTATCTTATTAATGCTTCATGGAAGTTAGGGTAGGTAGTTTTATTCTTCGTGTGTTTTTTCAAAGTTTTTTTTTTTTTTTTTTTTTTTTTTGAGACAGAATCTCACTCTGTCACCCAGGCTGGAGTGCAGTGGCACGATCTCAGCTCACTGCAACCTCCCCCTCCGGGGTTCAAGCGATTCTCATGCCCCAGCCTCCCCAGTAGCTGGGATTACAGGTGCACACCACTCCAGCCAGCTAATTTTTGTATATTAGTAGAGATGGGGTTTCGCCATGTTGGCCAGGCTGGCCTCGAACTCCTGACCTCAGATGATCTGCCTGCCTCGGCTTCCCAAAGGGCTGGGATTACAGATGTGAGCCACTGCGCCCAGCTTAAAGTATTTTTTTTTACTATAGAAGTACTCATGTATGTTGAAAATCTGGAAAATAGAGCAAATTATAGGAAAGAAATAAGAATAATTTGTTAACCTGTTACTCGGGTTAACTATTTTGGCATTTTTTTCCTAGTAGGGATTCTACTGGGTATAAAATTTTAGATCCTTATTTAAGCAAAGTTTTGAACCATGAGCCTTCTTCTATACCATAATTAAATTTTCTCTGAAAACATGTTTAATGGCTCTGTATTATTTTATTGTCTTGCTCTACCATACTTTATCTGTCTACTCTTGATGAATGTATGCACTGTGTACAATATTACGCACTTTAACCACAACATGTTGAACATTTGTTTGCATTTCAGATTATTCTTTAGAGCAGATTACCAAAAATGAGATGGCTTGATTTATGGGTGGGGCCTTATATTCTGTAAAGGAAGGAAGGGACAGGAATATATGAACATTTTTTAGCTGTATTATATATCATAAAGAATTTGTCTGGTCTTTGTCCCAGGTTCCTGGAGCTTCTAAAACCCTTGGAATTTCCAGAGTGATAACTGTGTCTCTGTTACTCATGGTGGGCCCTTGGGGCACAGCTGAGTTTATGCTAAGGAGATGACTCAAGATGGGGACTGGTCATGCCTGAAAGACCAACCATGTCATTAGAGGGTTAGGCCTATGGGCCATATGATATCAGGCTGACCTCCTGACCTCTGGGGAGCTGGAAATTTAGTTTAGTCTCATGGCTAGTAATTCAATCAGTCATACCTATGTAATGAAACCCCAGTAAAAACTCTGGACACTGAGGTTCAGGGAGCTTCCTGATTGGTAAACACATTGATATGCCCAGAGGGTGATTTTCCCTGACTGCACAGGGAGAGGGCACCAAAGCTCTGAATCTAGGGCCCTCCCAGGCTTCACCCCATGTGTCTCTTCATTTGGCTGGTCCTGATTCTTACCCTTATAATAAAACTGTAATCCTAAGAATAGTGCTTTCATGAATTCTGTGAGTTGTTCTAGTTAATTATCTAACCTGAGGAGGTCATGGGAACCCCCTGGATTTGCAGCCAGCTGGTCAGAAGTGTGGGTGGCCTAGGGACCCCTGAACTGGTAGCTGGTAGCTGAAGTGAAAGCAGTCTTGCTGGGGACTGTACCCTTAAGCTATGGAGTCTGACCATTGACTTTAGGTGGTTTGTGTCACTATTGAATTATGGTATACAACTTGTGATACATATTTCCAATTGTGTTATAAAGTTTATGTACAAAATTACAAAAGAGTGTACCTTTAAGTAACGTTGACACCACTGGGCTTCAGTATCCTTATGTATGAAATGGGAAATTTAGTGACAACAACACAGAAATGTTGTATGATTGTCTTCGTAAAGTGCCTTGGACCAGCACCTGGTGCATAAAAAGCAGTCATAGGATGTCCATGAGCATGTGCCCATGTGCGTGCATGTTGTGTGAGCACTGCAGGAAAACCAGAAAACAAGCGAAGAAAACAGGAAAAGAAGAAATCATTTGAAATGACATCAAAGATATAAAAACGGGATATTTTGTATTTTGAAAACCTCATTGTTTAAATAGGTTGGCTTATCCCTTTTACATTTATTATTATATATTTGGTCTTTTGTCATCATGTTCCATTTAAAAAAAAAACATTTTCTATTCTTTCCTGCTCTTTTTGTTATTTTCTATGTGATCTTCTGTTTCTCATTCTCTTTTCATTTGTGCAGGTCTACAGTTTTTTTGTTTTTACCTTAGAGCTAAAAATGGTTCTACAAAGGGTTACTTTTAAATCTTCAATGAACCTGCTTAAGCCTGGATTTCCCAAGCTATCACCTTGAGAAATGAAGCACCACTCTGTGACACCTCTCCTCCTGTTTTTGGTAGTTCTGCTTCAGGATTTTTTTTAGTTGGCGTTAGTGAAATAATTTTCATAGAATGTATTTCTTCTTTCAAGAATGATAGTAAATGCAATTGGTGTATAAGAGGCCCATCATTTTAATGGAAGAATAAACGTCACAGTTCTCCAGACTTAATTCTGTATTCAAATGGTTCCTGTGGTCACCCTTGGGTCTTTTCATGCATGCATCCTTATCCCCAGGTTCTCACTTAACATTTATCATGTTCCTATTAGATCTGCCTTCAAGGAGGTTTTATGTGAAAAGTGAAAGGTTTCAAACATACTCAGGACAAAGAGAACAAACATTCATGTACCCATCAGGCAGACTGAACAGTTACTAAGATTTCACCGTGCTTGTTTCATCTCTCTCTCCCCTGCTTTTCTTGCTGAAGTATTTTTAAACAAATTTATGAGATCTTGAGTCATTTTACCCCTGAATACTTATGTATATATCTTTAAAAAATATAGACATTTTCTTGCGTAAATCAATGTCATTAGCACAGCTAATAATAACTATTCTTTGGTATCCAGTACCCTATCTATATTTAGAATTTTCTTGAAAAATGTTCTTCAAATATGGTTCCCTACCTCCTCCCTCCACAAAAGGATATAAGAACATATACATCCCCAAGTCCTTCATGTCGATGAGGAGCCCGAGGCTCAGAGAGGTAGATTGGCTTCCTCAGGTCAGACCCTAGTATTGGGATTTGAATCCACACCCCTCTTAGTGAGCTTTATATTTTATGTACTACACCTGGCTGCCCAGGCATGGTTACCCCGAGTAGGGCGAAGCATGTAACCTCAACCTCAAGTTTCGCCCAAGATGTAGGGGCTGAAGCAGACAGGAAGATGAGCACTGCTCCAGGAAGCCTCCCACCAGTGCAGAAGAGCTCTTTTCTGGAAGACAGGGCTGGATGCCACAGTGAGGCAAGTCCAGCCCCAGCCCTAGGTCAGTGTCTTTTTTTGGTTTTGTGTCTATTCTTAAGGAGGTGTAAAGAGCTCTTTTCTGGAAGACAGGGC
The DNA here is from genome assembly GCF_000001405.40 of Homo sapiens. Taxonomy (NCBI): domain Eukaryota; kingdom Metazoa; phylum Chordata; class Mammalia; order Primates; family Hominidae; genus Homo; species Homo sapiens. The sequence goes on from NC_000003.12 coordinate 128,225,260, forward strand.
TGGATGCCACAGTGAGGCAAGTCCAGCCCCAGCCCTGGGTCAGTGTCTTTTTTTGGTTTTGTGTCTATTCTTAAGGAGGTGCTTCTGGTACACAGGCAGTGCCAAGGCCCCCTACAATGAAGCTACATGGCTACAGGGAGTTCTGAAGGTTATAGAAGACTATACAGCCTTTGGGATCTTAGCTCTGCCATGCACTCGCTGTGTGTTTTGAGCCTGTGACTTGACCTCTCTGACTGAGTTTCCACCTTTGGAAGATGGAATTAGAGTGCTTACTTTGCAGGGTTGTTGTGAAGATAATGTGAATGCAGATGTAAGCATCCCCAGCACCGTGCCTGGCACATAGTAGCTGTTTATAAATGCAAATATAATGTTGTCTTTATCTGCCAGGGAGGAGGACAGAGCACCAGCCACCTCTCCATCTCTACTGCACTGTCCCCTGGCCCCAAGACCTCTTCTGCATCCCCTTCCTCTCTCCTCTGGTCTGGATGGTTAGGCACCCAGGCTTTATGGGGCAGGGCATTGGAGCTGAGAGGACACCAGCTCTGAGCACCTGCAGGTTTTGGAGAGAAGGAAAGGACACTGCCAAGCACTTGCTCAGTGTCCTGTCACTCCTCAGGTGGTCTGGTTTCATGCTGCTTTACAGACCAAAGTGCTGGGCACAGAGGCAGATGTGTCTTATTGTCTTCTCAGAGTGTTACCAATTATTTCTAGTTTCAGTTGAAGAGACTCAGTTCATTGATGCAAGAGATTGACTCTCAGGATATGCCGGAGAACAGAGCCCCAATAAGAATCGGGGCAGGAGCTCAGGGGCTGTGGAAACACTCGTTGCCAGCAAGTGTGCTGAGAACACAAAGGAAATGCTTGTGATCCTTTTAGAGTGACTGGGAGTAAACATTTATTTCACCTTGAAGGAAATGAATGTTTCAGGAAGAGGCCCAGGAGCTTGACGAAGCTAGACAGCCCATGCCGTAAGCCACATAAAGGAGGACATCAGAACCAATTGGGTTAGAGAGGGCCTAATAAATTGTGTCCCTCACAAGGACCCAGCATTTTCTGTTCCTTGGGTGGGCCACATGTGCTCTTGAGAAGATTGGGAACAGCTGTACTGAGTTGTTGCCATTGAGTCATATCTGGTCCAGGGGCCAGCGGTTGGTGCCTCTGGTCATTCCGTCCTTTTCTAACAAAGCTCGAGGTGATCTGGCCATCTCCCCAAAGATCCTGGGGAAGTGCATGCTCAGCATCCTCCGTGCAGCACTGGCAGCTGGGGCTTCCGTAGCCCCCTGCTGTGTCCTGTGCCCTGAATGGCCCCTTCCCTTAGCTTTCCGGCCTGCTCCCTCCCTCCAGTTGCTAAATTCCCCTCTTCTATGCTTGCTTAGCAGAAACTTCTCATTTAACTTTTACATACTTCACTGTGTTGATGTTGTCTGTATGTGTGTGTGTGTTTCCCCCAGAAGACTCTGAAGCTTCTCGAGGGCAGGGACTGGGTTGGATTAATTTCTGAAGTTCAGAACCCAGCCTAGGGACAGCCATACAGAATGTAACAGAAGCAAACTTTTATTTCTGTGCCCAGATATGGTGGTGCACAGAGGGTTGTGTGGTGCACAGAGGGTAGCTGGTTTTGCAGGTACAGTATCAGGCATCTTGAGAAATTAATAGTGGGGAAGGAGAGCCCACTAAGGTGGGAATGCTTGCCTGGGACACCAGCCTGGCCTGCCTGTCGCCTCCACCAGGGGGCCCCCCTGCCCCGGCCCCTCTCGGGCCATTGCATCCTGTCCCTCTGGTTGCTTGCTTGGGGCTTGCAGGACATGGTGGACTCTGCAGGCTGCTTCACAGTGCAGTGTGTTCCTGCTGCTCCTTCTGAAATGTGACCTACCATGCCTTCTTCAGTCCCTCTGTCTCCATCCAGAAAAATGTCTAATTGTATCTTGAATTCATTTACATTGCTTGCTTCAATGGCCTCACTTGGCAGCTGAGCCCATATGCTAATTCCACCCTTTTCATGAAGGAATTCTGCTGATTTTACTTACTTTTTGTGACAGATTCCTCCCCCTACCCCCCCACTCCGTTCTTTTTTTGGTCTCCTGCTCTCCCAGTAAACAATTTCTTAGGTCCACTCTCGCAGGCTCTGTGACCCAGTGCCCTCAGGACACTTCATGGGGTGAAGCTCCTGATGGGTTTGAGTCAGGGCCCTGAGCACTGGCCCAAGCCCTTCCAGCACCTTCAGCTTAGGGTTAGTCAAGAATGTCCTGCCTTGGTTTCTTTGCTTCAGAGGAGGGGCTCTCTGTGGCTTGGGGACCCATTTCTACAAGGGTCTAAGACAACTGTTGTTTTTTGGAACCCATAGTGTAAGAGTTGGTGAGAGCGGCATTAACTCAGGGGCCTTGTGAGGACAGACCCTGCTTCCATGATAGGGGAGGAGGAGTCTGGGTCCGGGGGTGAATTGAGCCCGAGCTCAGTCCCAGTGCTTGCCTTTGCTGCCAGTGGGGCCTTGGATGAGAGTTCCTTGACCTCTCTGAGTCTTACTCTCTTAATCTGTAAAGCGGATATCTGAGGGCCCATCCTCCCCTCATTCAGATTACTGGGGTCTTCTCCAAGTGGATGCAGTCCTTGCAGCCCCTGAGTCCTCTCTCTATTGGCCCTGGGCCACTGGATCTTCACAGCATTTGATTTTCTCTTGGCACAGCCGCTTCAGTTGTTCAACTTTTCTCCCCTTTTTTCTGTTTCTAAACAAGCATACATAACCTTTTTAAGTGTTACTAGGATGCCACCACTGAGGACTAGAGAAGAGTTGATTAATTGTTGCTGGAGGGGGTGTTCTAAGTAATTGAACAGGCCCGGTCATCTCTGACCTCTCAGTGCTTTTCATTCACTTCATACATATTTGTTGAGCACCTATTCTCTGCTGCCATGTGCAAGGGATTCTGTGGGATAAGGTGGCCCAGGTCCCTGTCCCAGTGGGTGAAGCTGCAGAGGAGCTTGGGAGTCACAAACAGCACTATCCTAGGGCAACAGGGATTGTGGGGCTCTGAGGAGGGGCTGTCACCTCCAGATGAGAGGGAGCCTGGAAAATACCTGGGAGGTGACATCTAGCCAAAATTTGAAGGCTGGGTTGCCAGAGAAAGGACAAGGTGGGAAGAATGCTCCAGGCACATGTGCATGGGCCACGGTCCTGGGGTGATAGAGAGCATGGCTGAGTGAGGAGCTGAAGCATGGAGTATGAGGAGATGGGGGTGGTGGGTGTGAGGCTGTCAGGTGGTGCAGGTAGGGGCCCAACCACACTGGCCTTCTTGTTCCTTGCCCAGGGAGGAGGGTCAGGGTTGGGGAGTCGGTCTCTGACCTTGACCTCCTGTGACCCTCACTCTCTTCTCCACAGAGGGCAACATAGCACTACTAGATACCAGGTCCGCGGCCTGAGTGGGGTCTGATCCTGTCCTTGCACTTACCTGACAATTTGGCCTTGGGCAAGCAGGCAATGCAAACTCTCTGTGCCTTGATGTGATCATCTGCAAAATGGGGGTGTTGGTAATAGTACCTGTATCCTAGGACTGAGTTCAATGAGCTGATGTATGCAATGCACTTAGAACGGAGCCTAGTTATAGTGAACACTACATTAAATGTCACCTATAAAAACAGTGCTCATTTCTTGTGGAAAGGGCTTGGTAAGAATAACTTCTGTCCCAGAGGAAATTCCAGCCTGGTGTCTCTGAGGTTTTCCTGCTTCATGATCCAGGGAAATAATTGTCTTAGGTTATTCCTGGGCTTTCTACCTCCTGGGGCTATATTGAGACTCAGTATGAAAACCTATGTTTGAAATTCTAGGGAAAATCCCCACTAGAGAGAAAATAATGTCAGAGACTGTTTGGAGCTTTCACATGCATTAACTCCTTCAGTCCTCCTAACAGTCTATGAAGTAGGCCCTGTTTTTACACAGCATATGTATACTGTGGCTATGATACTAGGTGTGGGGCCTCGGTCCAGAGTGTTGGGGAGCGAGTGTTTGGCAGCCTCTGCACGGCCTTTTCATCAGCTTTGGAAGAAGCCAAGGCTAGAGAGCGAAGTGCTCTCCCCACGTGGCCCCACTGGAGGGGCAAGGGCTGAGTGAGATTCGTCTGCTCTCATTTGGACCCCAGAGAGCCCATTGTCCTTTCCTCCAGGATGACCCTCCTGGCATCCACCTTCCCCACCCCCACCATGGGCAAAACATGTCTCATGGGAGAAAGAAGGAGTGGGCTGTCAAATCTGCCCTACCCCAGGCATAGCGGACTGATTCCTGAGTGCTTTTCTGACTCCAATAGTTACAGGCCTAAAAGGCTAGATGTTTATTCTGTTTCTTCGAACTTTCCTTTCTAGCGAAAACTCCAGAGTTCTCACACTAGGGAGCTACAGGCCAGTCTTGGCCCATGGACATGTTTTGTTTGGGCCATGCTGTTTAAACATTTTTTTCAATTGGTTGTCAACATTTAAACATTGGCGAATTTCATATAATATTCCAGATTTTTGGCATCTCTTAAAAAATCAGAGGATCTGGCAACTTGAGGCCTACATTCCTGTCTGGCCATGGTGTACTGGAGCTGAGGAGAAACGGTCCCCTCCAAATGGGGTGCGGGAGTTTCTGTTCCCTTTGGTCTCACACCTTGACTTATGCCTAGCCCATGTTGCTCATGTGAGGTGCCCACCAGCCCTGGAGGGTTTCCTTTCCTTTCCTTTTCCTTTCCTTTTCCTTTCATTCTCTTTCTTTTATTTTTTCTTTCTTTATCTCTCTTTTTCTTTTCTTTTCTTTTTTCTTTTCCTTTCTTTCCTTTCCTTTTCTTTCTCGCCCGCTTTCTGTCATTCTTTCGTTTTTTCATTCATTCATTCTTTCTCTCCCTCCCTCCCTCCCTTCCTTCCTTTTCTTTATTTTCTTTCGAGACAAGATCGTGCTCTGTGGCCCAGGCTGGAATACAGTGGCACGATCATAGCTCACTGCAACCTTGAACTCCTGGGCTGAAGCCATCCTCTCCTTCAACCTTCAGAGTAGCCAGGACTACAGGCATGTGCCACTGCACCTGGCTAATTTTTGTTTTTTAAATTTGTTTATAAAGTTGGAGGTCTCACTATGTTGCCCAGACTGGTCTCAAACTCTTGGCCTCAAGCCATCCTCCCTCCTCAGCCTCCCAAATTGCTGAGATTACAGGTGTGAGCCACTGTACTTGGCCACTGGAGGCTTTTATATTTGGGACAACTGCTCTCCACTTTCTTTACTTTAGGACAGGCCTTTGTGAATGATAGCATTTGTTAGGGAGAATGGGAACTCAGGCTCAAGAGCACTCATAATGATCACTTTCATGATGAAGCACCTGCTGTCTTCCAGACCCAAGTGAGGTTGGTTAGCAAGTATCCATGAGCCTCACACTGCTCTGTTTATAGTATATGATCCCCATTTTACAGGTAGGAGAGACTGAGGCTCAAATAGGTAAGGGCCTTTAGACAGGTCTCGCTTAGCATGCAGATTGGGAAAGTTGAAGTAGAATCCAGAATGTTCCCTCAAAGTCTGTCTGTCTCCCCACACACCTTGCCCTCACTCTCAAGGTGGCCCATGCATCAGTAGGCATGCCCTGAAATCTAGAGATGGAGGACTCCAGGAAGTTTCCTTCACAGTTTCCCTTGGAGATCACTGGGTGCTCTCCAAGAGAAATCCTCTTTGGTGACCTTCAGGTAGGTGGCCGGTGGAACTAATTTATGTTGCCTCAGATCAGGCAGAGCCAGCATTGGCTCCTGGCTCCACCACATTCTAGCTATAGGACTGCACTGTCCCCCTACTCCTCTCCTCCCCTCCATCCCCTCTCTCCTGTCTTCCCTCGCCTCCTCCCCCTCACTCATTTTAGTGAGCCCTCATTGTGGACTGGGCTCTGTGTCTAACTTTCCAAGCCTCAGATTTCTCATACCTGGATGGGTTGTTGCTTGGCACTGTGGCCAGCCCAATCGAGACCTTGATAATTGGTAGCCATTGTTATGAATGATGAGGCTTTCCACTCATTTTCACAATGGAAATCACATTGACAGGACCCCAGAGTTACAGAATTTTTGTGAAAAATATTGACTTTAAAAAATAGCCTTTTCCCTAAGGCACCTTGTGGGAAGAGCTGAGATGACACTGAATTGCACAGATCTTTGTAACTCTGGCTCTCCCGTCTCATGGATCAGGTACCTTCTTTGTTCTAAGCAGTCTGCTAGGCACATCACATACCTTTCTAAAAGGTTAGTAATGGTTTCATCTCCATATGATAGATGAAGAAACAGGCCTGGAAAGCCCAGGCATTTTGTGAAAGATCATACTGCTGGTATGTGGAGCAGGGGCTCCAACTCAGGCTGGCCCTCCCCAGGGATTGTGCCCTGAGCCCTTTCCTGTGGGGCCTGATTCCCAACCCTGCCCCAGGATCCAAGGTGGACTCAGTGTCCATGTCATGTAACAAAAGAGTCAGGGGTTCTCGGTGCCCTGTTAGGGCCTGTTGTTCCTGGTTGGTTGGCAAGTCTGAGTGTTTATTCAGCACTGCTGGGAAGGCTCCCTGGCTTAATTCTGAGATTCCAAGCCATCCTGTCGTATCTCCCCCGACTCCCCCAGCTGAGAGAACTGGGAGAGACACGAGGACACACAGGGCAGGGGCTCTTCCCTGGGTGAGGTTTGTGTTTGGATTTCAGGCGTCGCTGATGGTGAAGTGTGCTTAGGGTTTTCTTTGTAATTCACATTCCTGTGTCTACCTCTTACTGTTTTGTCCAAAAATTCTTGTATCCATATTTGGTGATTTGTCTCTCTGTTCCCACCCCCACCCCCAAGCCCCTCAAGGTGTCTGCCAAAATCCTGTATAACTCGTATCATCTCCCAAGCTGTTATAGTATATGAGGGCAAAGGATAATTTAGTTATTTTTGAATAAAGATTCGGAGGAAAAGTAAAAAAGTTGGGCAGGGGGTGGGGGGAAGTTTTCATACTCACTGCATGAAATAGACAATATTTCCTGAAACAGGAGATACGAACCTCAAAGAATTTAAAATAAAACATTCATTTTATTATTTTTTTAAAGAAGGAAAACGAGGGGAAAAAAGTAGAATAGTCAGTCTTTTTATCCTAAGTACAGATGAAATTGATTAAACCTTAAAGACTGGCCTCCGCACACCCGGTTTATTAATTGAAGAATTTCCTCTTACCCGGAATGGGAAGTTCACATTAAAATCGAGCTTGCCCTGAGTGGTAGTGACACTTGAGAACTGAACATTTTCCACAATCCTATTTTCTCTTCAGTGCTAGAGGAAATCCTAAAATGGTTAAAATGGGGGGAAGGGGACTGAGGCGGGAGAGAACAGAAACTGTACATTTTAAGGAAGCCTAAAGCATGAAATCAAATTATAGCTTATGGGCCACAATTATTTTATTTCTACATTTCAAATTCCATTTTCTGCTCTTTTTCACTGCTCTTGAACGGGAGTTGTACTGTTGTGCAAAGTCAGCTAAAAAGATTACCCTAGATAGACTATGACACGGTAGCTTAAAGAAGCAAAAAGGCAAAACTCCCTGGTTAGGTTGGGAGCCCTGTGGCCCTACAGAGCCCTCATGTCTGCTTCCATCTGGAAAGGCGACATAAGCAGCCATCACCCCCCGGACTCCTTGGCCCTGACAGGAGCTTGGAAACCTCCACTCTTCGTGTGTCTTCCTGTATGAGGCTGACTCTGCCTCTTGTCCTCCCAGTGATCAGTGTCTACTTCATTGCCTCCCTAGGGGTGGGCCGCTCCTGGCTGACGATAAGCTGATGCCTGGCGCATCATTAATGCTCTGGCTTAGCAGGACTGAAGGTCATGCATTTTCCAGTTTTCTTCCAGTCCCTGGATTTAGTGCCAGCACACCTTTCCCCTACCTCTCACTGACCCCTTTTCGGCAGAGTGAGTTCCAGGCTCAGTGCTTCAGCAGGCCATGTTATCCAGTTAACATCTAATAATGTTTTATTTATCTTTACAGTTAATTTCTCCTTAACGCAAATTTAAGAGTGTTGTACTTATGGTCATGTAAAGTTGTTTTTAATATAAGTGCATTTGAATTTTAAAAAATGATATGATTTAAACATACATGTGAGTAAATAATAGTAGAGGTAGTATCCATGGGTCTGGCAGAAATCATGAAGGTGGCTCATGGATGGAGAACCCTGGCTTAATTCATACTTCTTCCCTGATGTGGATCAGCTGTTTTGAAAACTTCTAGCCAAAGAGCTCTTTAATCATGTCTCCAGTTATCCATCCACATCTTTACCAGCCCTTGCTCTCAGGAAGTTCTCTTACAGATCTACCTGAGCTCCCTCATGCTTCTGTTGAAGATCACTTTATTTTGTATTTTCATTAGATAGGGAACATCCTACATTAGATAGGTCCCTACCTCTGACCTTGAGCATCTCCTTAACTTCCTCTTCCCTCAGCCTCATGGTGGGCATGCAGGCTCTTAGACTCTGGCAGACAGGCGATATTGCTTAGTATCATGGTACAAGTTCTCCTGTTGAGTTGGAGGTTTGGGTTCTAATCCAGTCCTCCAGTTTGTTAGCTGTGTGACTGAGGGCAAGTCACTTCAGATCCTTCAAATCTCTTCAAGTCTCAGCTTCTGCACCTGTGTGTGTGAATAATAATAAATGTTTCCTTCCTGGGCTATTAAGATTAATTGAAATAATGTGCCTGGTGCATTCTTAAGCATGCAATATGTGTTCATTCTCTTTCTTCCTTTCCCCGATTCCCTGACCTGTAGTCATCTTTTTATTTATTTATTTATTTATTTATTTATTTAATTTATTTATTTTGAGACAGAGTCTTGCTCTGTCGCCCAGGCTGGAGTGCAGTGGTGTGATCTTGGCTCACTGCAACCTCTGCCTCCCGGGTTCAAGCAATTCTCGTGCCTCAGCCTCCTGAGTAGCTGGGATTACAGGCACACACCACCATGCCTGGCTAATTATTGTATTTTTAGTAGAGATGGCATTTCATCATGTTGGCCAGGCTGGTGTTGAACTCCTGACCTCAAGTGACCCTCCCACCTCGGCCTCCCAAAATGTTGGGATTACAGGCATGAGCCACCGCTCCCAGCCCATTTTTTTCATTTTTAAGCTTTTTATTTCAAAGTCATTTCAAACTTAGAGAAAGGCTCTAAGAATAGTACATAGGACTCCCGTATGCCCATCACCCTTGAGTCATCTTTGTGACCATCCTTGCATACGACAGCATGGTTTGGGTACAGCCAGACAGAGACTTAGGAGTTGCTCTCTAGCAAGGCTGACTGTGGTGCGAGGACATTTCCATGGATTCCTCCACTGGTCTTGCAGAAGGCTGAAACCTCATTAACAGAAAATCTTTATGACCACTAAGCAGACATAACTGGGTGTCTTCTCTCTGCTACCCTCCCACCCTGCCTTAGGTGGATTGTCTAACTTGTAGATCAAAGCTAGCCTCTTGACAAGTTTCCTAATAGGACAGGTACATACCTAGAGTTGTGTCTGAGATGACTTGATGTGTGCACAGATATGGTGTTAAGGGACGTCGATCCCAGTGAGAAAGTTATTCCCATTTCAAGATTCTTTAAGTCCTTCTGATGACTTTAAGGAGATCTCAGGTTGGTGCTGGGAGCTCTTATACTTCTCTTAACATTGTAAGCTCAGTGCCTGTTACTGTAACCATGTCTGGCTAGAACTTAATAACAGTGTTTTACTTTTATTGTACTTCTTTTTTTAAACTTTTCACTTATGGTAAATTATGCTGGTTTTCCAGTGATATGAAGCTTTACTTTTACTTACTTACTTATTTATTTTATTTTATTTTTTTGAGGCAGGGTCTCATTCTGTTGCCCAGGTTGGAGTGCAGTGGCGTGATCTTGGCTCACTGCAACCTCTGCCTCCTTGGTTCAAGTGATTCTCCTGCCTCAGCCTCCCATATGTCTGGGACCACAGGTGCACACCACCACACCCAGCTAATTTTTGTATTTTTTTTTTGTAGAGATGGGGTCTCTCCATGTTGCCCAGGCTGGTCTTGAACTCCTGGGCTCAAGCAATCCCCCCACCTCGGCCTCCCAAAGTGCTGGGATTATAGGCCTGAGCCACCGCGCCCAGCCTGAAGCTTTACTTTTAAAAATAAATTGCTCTTGAGTCAGTAACGTATGTATGTACATAGTTCAAAATCTTAAAGGTACAAAAAGGTACACAGTAAAAAGTAAATCTTCCTTTTCCCCCTGCTTACCTAGTTTACTTCCTGGAAGCAAATTGCTATAACCATTTTCTTCTAAAGATTCCAAAGACACTTCATGATTTTTAAGCATGTTCTTTCTCCCACGGATCCTCTAGAAGTGGCAATATACTGTGCACACAGTGAACACACCAGCTCCGCTAGAGCTCTATTCAGTGAATAGTTACCGTGGTGTTTTTAAATAGCTGGGTCATGTTCTGTTTTATGTACATGTCATGGTTTAGTTAACTACTTCCCTTCCAACAGGCAGTCAGGCTGGTTCTGACCTTTTGCTCTTCCAGACACGTAGCAATGAGTGTCCACATATGTGCCCCATGTGCACGTGGGTCACTGCTAGTCCCCAGGGGTGTTTGACGGCCATTTGCCGTTGTGCTGCTCCTACCCCCAACCCCACCCCAGTGACAGGCAGGACTATCTGTCTCCCCTGTGTGGATGGGCAAAGGTTTGTTTGTTTGTTTGTTTGTTTGTTTGTTTGTTTGTTTTCAGACGGAGTCTCACTTTTTCGCCCAGGCTGGAGTTCAGTGGCGCAATCTCGCCTTACTGCAACCTCCGCCTCCCGGGTTCAAGTGTTTCTCCTGTCTCAGGCTCCCGAGTAGCTGGGATTACGCAGCAACACCAGGCACGCAACACCCCATCCGGCTAATTTTGTATTTTTAGTAGAAATGGGGTTTCACCACATCGGCCAGGCTGGCCTCAAACTCCTGACTTCAAGTAATCTGCCTGCCTTGGCCTCCCAAATTGTTGGGATTATAGGCGTGAGCCACTGTGCCCAGCCAAGAGTGTTACCAAATGTTTGAGGTGACTCGGCCTCCTGTATAAAACTTGGGTTCTGGAGCCACATAGCCTGACTTTGAATTCTAGCTCCCTATCTTTCTAGTTCTGCGACCCGTGACTTAATTTCCTCATCTGTAAATGGCGGGGGGCGGGGGTGGCGGTGACACAGAGTGTCAGCAGGCTCCCAGAATGTCAGGGCTAGGCAGGCCGAACACTCAACATGTTAGCTCTTTGTATTATCATCAGTATTATTTTGTCAGTACAGTAGGTGAAAAACAGAATTTCAGTGTACAGTGGTTTTAATTTGCATTTTTTTGTTACTAGTAAGGTGTGATGTCTTATCATGTTTGAGCTATTTTTATTTCTTTATGCCCCTGCTTATTTCTCTGACTTCATCTCCTTCCTCTTCCTCAAACGCATGTGGAGGCTTTGCACTTGTTCCTCCCTCTGTTGCCTACCAACTCCTTCTCCGCTGAGTCTGTGCCCAGATAGCTCCTTCTCAATGAGGCCTCTCCTGACAGCCTGATTTAAAATTGCAGGCCACCTGCTTCGCAGACAGCTCGGAGCCTACTTCTCCTGCTCTTTCTCCCCAGGATGCTTAGCCTCTCTGACCCTACTGTGAAATTCACTTACTGTGTTTTAATGTTTGCTTTTGCTCTACCCTACTGGACTGTGAGTTCTCGATTGCAAGGGGTAGGGACTGTTGTCTGTCTGGCCTCTCAAGTGTGCCAGCCACCAACTCTACGTCTGGCATGAGGGAGTGTTCAGTAAACGTGCTGCGTGTGAACTAGCTGTTGATACCATTTACATTTTTGATTGGACTGTCGCTCTTTTTAAAAAATCCATTTCTATATTTCCAATTTGAAATATTAAGGAAAACAGTCCTTTGTATGTAGTATGCATTTTAAGCTTCTCTCCCTTGTCACTGGACTTTATCGTATTTTCCTATACAGAGATATTTGGTTATTATATTGTTGAATTTGTCAGTGTTTCCTTTTTATTTTCTTCTGTGTTTATTCTGTGGGTTTTGTATCTTACCTAGGTATTTTTTTACTTTTAAGATTATAAAAAATTTTTTTCTCACCCTTTCTTTCAGTACTTTTTTGGTTTTCTGTTTTTATGTTTGAAACCTTGATCCATTTGGAATTTATTCTGATGTCATGTGTATGGTAGACATCCAATTTTATTTTTATCTAGATGGCTACCCATTGTCCCTTTATCACAATTATGTGATTGTCCCTGTTTCCAGATGTGGACCTTGGGGTCAGAGAGGGAAAGATCCTTACCCAAGATTGTGCAGCCAGCAAATGGACTTGCATCCTGCCCTGCTCCCCTCTCCCAGCTCTGCGGGTGTTTTGCCATGAGTCTCTAGCATTTCTTGTTTTTTTGGCTTTCTTTCCTTTTGGCGGGGGTCCAACACCTCTATTTGTCTGCTATCTTGTCCAGGGCCATTTATTTTTTGCCTTGATGTCTTACATGGACCTTCTTTGTTGTTCCTCCTGTTCCTCCACTGCTGACATGCTCTCATTGTTCACCCTGGCCTTTCTTCAGGTGGTGATGAATGTCTCCTTTGGCTCCCTCCTGCAGGACTGTGCCTCAGGTTGTGCACTTTGTTCTCCTTCCTCTCTATCCTCAGGGCCTTGCCCACCTGCTCTTTGGGATGCCTTAGGGTTCCCAGAGCACTCAGGAATGCATGATTCTGGCCAAGAGGCAGCTGATAATAGAAAAAGCAGAAATTTTGAAGTCAGACAGCCCTTGGTACTAGCGCTGCCTCTGCTGTTGACTGTTGGGCAATTAGACCTCAGATTTCTCTTTATGGAAATGGGAGGTCTCCTCTTCCAGGGGATAGTGGTGAGGATTAGAACTAATGCAGAAGTCACAAGCTCAGGTGCCTGTTGGGAGCCAGGCTAGTAGTACAAATGCTGGGGTGTGAGGCAATAGGGAATTGCAGGAACCAGGGTAAAGTTGGGAATGCATGCCTGTTCTCCAGGAGACAGCTGCTCCTCAGCCACATCAGACAAAGGCCCAGTCTAACCACATGTGCTAATTCATGGAGATTTTTATGTGACATTTCTCAAGTTGTAAATGTTGGCAGTGTATGCATATTCTAACAGGTACTGCACAGGCTAGACAATGCCCATTCCAGATCCTCAGGCATCTTTAAGTTGTCAGTTTGCAACCAGTGATGTGAAGTCCTTGGCTCCAATTCAGCTCTCAATCCACAGTGGCTGTTATTCGGGGTTTTTTGGGGTTTTCTTTGAGCTTGCTCTGTCGCCCAGGCCAGAGTGCAGTGGCATAGTCTCGGCTCACTGCAGCCTCCACCTCCTGGGTTCAAGTAATTCTCGTGTCTCAGCCTCCATGCATACCACCATGCCCGGCTAATTTTTTGTATTTTAGTAGAGACGGGGTTTCATCATGTTAGCCCAAGCTGTTCTCAAAGTCCTGAGCTCAGGCAATCTGCCCACTTCAGCCTCCCAAAGTGTGTAATGGCTGTTATTTGAATTGTGGCTGCTGCTTTTGGGTTTCTTGTCAGTCAGGCAGCACCCTGCAGTGTCCCTGCTGGACGCTGGGTCAACTCTGTTCCCACTAGTTACTTCCGGTTCTTGGAGTTCTTAAACTTCTTCTGGTCCACGTGGTATGGCATATCCTTTACCTGGAGACCAAGAAGCCAGGGTTTGACTCTTAATGCATCATGGGACCAGGACAGCAATGTCTAGTTCTGCCGGGTCAGCTTCTCCTGCTCAGGGGTCTCCCTGCAAGTCTGGTGAGATTTGGCCAGGATGTTTGTGGAGGAGCCTGCCTTTGCAGGGCAGTTCAAACAAAAAGGATGTCCTGCCCAGTGGTGGATACAGTGATCCAGGCTGTTGGCTGGCACTTACCAAGAAACCCCGTGAGGGGCCAGCTCCTGGGTCCACAGGAGTTGGGGGAGGCACTGTTTGTATTCGCTCCATGCTGCCGTTAATACTCTTCCTCTTCCTCCTCTGGAGGGCACAAGGCCTTTGGGTATATGTGAGTCCTAAAGGAAGGAGGAGGCCAGTTCTTGAGCTCTTACTGTGCTGGCATAGTGATACTTGCAGCAGCTTGCATTTAGTGAGTCTGGGGCATGTGGCAGGTGCTGGGTGAGGTGCCCTCCTCCAACTTACTGTGTTGTCTCTGGCATCAGCATCTTCCAAGGAGGAATCCCAGGCTCCAGGAGGTCAAGAGGTGTACTTGCCTGAGGCTGTGCAGCTGGCAGAGCGAGATGCTTACCCTCTGCCCCCGCCTGCCTCAGAACTTGAGGTGGGCTTCCAAGCTGCCACCCCGTTCCTCCTGCCCACAGGCAGCACCCCTCTCTATGAATTCCTTGATCACATGCCTCAGATCAAAACATGCCCTCCCTCTGGGCTGTCTCCTCTACAGGAACCTGAGTTTCCAACTAGAGTGGTAGACACCACTGTCAGTAGAAAACAGAAATGCAATTATTGTTTCTGTTTTACAGATGTGGAGATGGAGCACAGAGAGGGTGAATAGCTTTATAAAACTCCCCTCCATCTGAAACTGTTCATGAAAATGGTGATAACAAGGACCAGGGTCCCTGGAGCCTTCTCCTGTGACTGGGGCCTCCTTTGGCCACCTGGTCCCCACTGGAGGGTCTGGGCCTGGCCAGGAGCCTCTAGCCTGTTAAACTCCTAGCACCTCCTGCAGTCGATGGAGTAACCTGGTGGTTGTTAGCAGCATGGGCAGCATGAATGTTTGGCTTCAGTGAGAGGGCTAAGCAGAAAGGCTGAGAGAGAGTGCATGAGTGTGGCATGCTGCCCTGTGCCCAGGTGGGTGCTAGGTCACAGGCACTGTGCAGGGCCTGGTCGTGACCGCCCTCCTTCTCTCCTCCCCTTTCCCCTTCCCCAACTCCATCAGCAGGCTTTGTCCACTTGTGTTTGCCTGGGGTCTGCCTGGACTAGTGGGGACAGCAGGCCTTGTTACAGTTCGACCAAGAGTGATGGGGCCCAGGTTCAGTGCTCACAGCTGTTAGTACCAGCTCCTGCTTACTGAGGGTGCTTAGGGCTGAGTCTCTCCTAATCTTCTGCAGGAGACATCTTTGTTTAGGTCCTGATTGTGGATGAGGAAATTGAAGCTCCTGGTAAGGTTGTGATTTGAACATATCCAAGCTTGGGGACCTCCAAGCCCTGCTCTTGCCACTTCCTCTTATTTGTGGTCCTTGTTTCCTTGGTCTTTAAAATGACCCTCTTGTTTAAGCCCCTTCCATTTCCAAATCCTCTGAGCCTGTGCTGAGGAGGACAGGCTGGACACTGCTGGTTAGTCCCACACCTTCCTGGTACCAGTAGGAATTTGAGAGGGAAAGTCCAGGCTTACCCTGTTTCAGGAAAACTGCAGAAGGAGGAAAACTAATTCTCCTTAAAACTGATTTTCTCCTTGCTCTCTCTGCAGAATGGGCTGCAATGTGACTGAAGTCTTGCTGCCTTCCCATCCCCTGCCCTTGGCAGAGAGTCAGGGTTGGGACAGCTGCAACCTGTGTTGGATGGAGCCTGATCAGTCCTGGGTTCTTGCCCCTAGTTGGGTGGCTTTGGGCAAGTTATTTAACCTGTCTCAGCCTCAGTCTTCTTACCTGTATAATGAGGAGATAGGCAATACATTGAATAAATGAATAAAAACAGCTGCAAATAATAATATAAGGCTCTCGCCCTGGAGTCTGAGAAGCTGTGTTCTGAGTTGGGGACCTCTGAAACCTGCCCGTTTTGTCCTGGAACACCCGCAGGGGGCTTGTACAGAGCAATTGTTTTATTCTGGACATAAGATCTTGCTGCTCAGAGTTTCAGGGTACTGTTGTAGAGCAAAATCAGTAGACTGAGTTCAAATCCCTCTGAATCCTTGCTCCTTGACCTGACTTGGTTACTTCACCTCTCTAAGCCTTTGTCCTCTCTCTCTCTCTCTTTTTTTTTTTTTTTTTTTTTTTGAGACAGGGTCTCACTCTGTCACCCAGGCTGGAGTACAGTGGTGTAATCAGGCCTTGACCTGCAGCCTTGACCTCTCTGGGCTTAGGTGATTATCCTACCTTAGCCTCCCAAGTAGGTGGGATTACAGGCATGCACCACTATGCCTAGCTAATTTTTGTATTTTGTATAGAGACAGGGTTTCACCATGTTGCCCCATGCTGGTCTCAAACTCCTGAGCTCAAGTGATTCACACACCTCAGCCTCCCAAAGTGCTGGGATTACAAACGTGTGCCACCACGCTGAACCAATTTTTGTATTTTTGTAGAGACGGGGTTTCACTATGTTGCCTAGGCTGGTCTTGAACTCCTGAGCTCAAGTGATCTGCCCACTTTAGCCTCCCAAAGTGCTGGGGTTACAGACCCAGCCTGTTTTCCCATTTGTAATACCCACATTGCAGAGTTGGTGTTGAGATGTAGGTAAGAGGAGATGAAGACATGTAGACCACCACTGTGCATGTCATAATAGCAGATGTAGAAGTGAAAACCGTGGTAACAGCTAATATAATTGAGGATTTCATATGTCTAGGCACTGTTCTAAATTGTTTACATATCTGATCTCATTGAATCTTCAGTGCAATCCAATAACATAGGCAGTATCATCGTCCTTGTATAAGATGAGGAGCCTGAGGCACAGAGAGAGTTAATGTATTTGGCAAATGGTCATAATAATAGTAGGATATTAATTGCCACTGCAGTTTTATATTGTTGATAAAATGTATTTACATTGTTCAATGAATATTTAAAAAGTCACCAGTCAAAAACAAATTTTGGCCAGGCACAGTGGCTCACGCCCGTAATCCTAGTAGCACTTTGGGAGCTGAGGTGGGAGGATCTATTGAGGCCAGGAGTTCGAGACCAGCCTGGGCAACATAGCAAGACTCCACCTCTACAAAAAAATTTTAAAAATAAGCTGGGTATGGTGGCATGCACCTGTAGTCCCAGCTACTTGGGAGGCTAGGACAGGAGGATCGTTTGAGCCCAGGAATTCAAGGCTGCAGTGAGCTATGATTGCACCACTGCACTCCAGCCTGGGCAACAGTAAGACCCTGCCTCTAAAATTAAAAAAATAAATAAATAAATAACAAATAATGGCACACATTTACCTACATAACAAACCTGGTCATCCTGCACATGTACCCCTGAACTTAAAATATAAGTTGGAAATAAATTTTTTTTTCTTTATTTTAAATGTAACATTTTTTCTCCTTCTTATAATGCCCATAGCTTTGACTTTTTTAAAAAAAAATCTGATTTTGAGGTTGCTAAAATATGTTCAAAGTATAATGTTAAGTTTCTCCAGCTGAAATATTTTTTTCTGAACATATTTTATTCCTTCAGTCCCAAAAGGAAAATTACACCTCACAGATAACTTATGCTTTGTTAAATGCTGACCCTTGTAAGTTTTTCATTATTTTTGAAATGATTAAGATATATAATTTACAGAATTGGAAATTGTAATTTTTAAATGTACTGAGAAACTTTAACCCTATTATAATTATTCTGCAAATCTTTTAAGGATACTATAGTCAGTACAACTAGATGAAAAACTCTGATAGATTGGGAAATATAGAGGATCATTTATAAGCCTTGATTTTTTTGTCTTGTGTTTCCCACCCACTCACTCGCTATGTCCCTCTAGTCTCAGAGCGATTTTCTACCCTGGGTTCATGGGAATTGGGAAGGACACTGTTTGATTCATTCTATGAAACTACTAGGGATTTTGAAAAAGGCAAGACGGGCCAGTTGTGTCACTTCCTGTCGTCTGATCAAAAGTTTGATGAAGAAAAGAAAGTAACTGAGAGCTGCTGCCAGGCAGCAGGCAGTTGCCTGGTGATGACCCCGGGTTTCCAGTGCTAGTCTGGTTCCCAGTGTGGCCAGTCAAGTCCCTCTGACCTCTGGGCTCCTTAGAAGTCCCTGGTGCTGGCTGCGCTGCACGGGGTCCGCTCAAGAGCCTGGCCTTTTGGAACAAAGACGGCTTTTGGATGCTGGATCAGGCTGCAGATGAAATCCCAACTGGCTCCTGAGTGTTTGGGTCCTATCTATGCTTAGTTTTCTGGGTCTGTCAATCAGTTTCATTTCCCATCCACAGGATCTCAATAGGCGTGAGAAGCAAGAGGGCCTGATGCGTGGAGCACATGAGTCATTCCCCTACTGGATAGTTGACTGGATAGTTGTGTATACCAATAGGAAATCGACTGTTGAAGAAGAGGAACAGATTCCTGGTGAATAAAGTAGAAGAGGCAGGGATATGGACATTTGCTGCATTAGTCCAGCAACGATGTATTAAGCTGTGCCCAAGCTGGGTCTTGTGCTGTGAATACAGATTGAAAACCCAGGCCTTGGTTATGAACCCTCAGCATGGAGCCGGGTGGGGCATCAAGGATCAGGGGCAAGTGAACCTGGGGCAGGTGTTCTGGGCAAAGCAGGAGCAGGGGCAAAGGCAAGGAAGGGAAAGGGGCGAGAGTCCACCTGGGTCCTACCTTGATCTTTAGATGGGAAGTGGGAGAGTTGATGGGGGGAGGGGGAGAAATTGTGGGCTGGGTCCCCACTGGGCAGGGCGGGCTGTGTGGCGTGGGAGTTAAGAACCTGGGCACCAGGGTTCAGATCTCTTCTCTGCCACCTACCTGCTGTATAACCATGAGCAGTCAACGGACTTCCCTAAAGCCTCGACTTCCTCATCTGTAAATTAGGGGCTAGGTAGTGGCAGGTGTTTAAGTTCTAGAGGGAACTTGGATAGTCAGAATTACTCTGGAGAAGTCCTTAAGGAACGCATGAGGTTGAGTGGCCTTGGTTCTGTGGGCACAGCTTCACCCACCGGAGAGGGAGGCCTGTGGGGCCAGTGCAGGATCCATTCTGCTGTGAAGGTGGAGACTGGAAAATAGGCTGGGCCCCCAACGTGTTCCTCCCTCCTTGTTCCCTGCTGGGCTTTATCTCATCCTGCCTCAAGACCCAGTCTCACAGCCCTGTGGCCAGTTCCCAGATTTACTGATGGTTAGGACCCGGAAGACAGTTGGGTGTATCTTCTGGGTAGGGAAGGCTTGGGCTCAGCTTGTGTGAGGGAGGCATGAGTGTCATGGGGCCATGGAGAGAGGGCGAAAAGCCCAGGAAAGGGTTTGTGGAGCACACAGCATGGTGCTTGGCACAAGGTGAGTGGGAAGCAACTGGTAGTTAAAAAACAGGGAGCCTCCCACAGCCACATTGGGGAGTCTTTTTTTTTTTTTTTTCCAGTGGACAGTGGGGCTCTTAGCATGAGAAGGGCATGGTCAGGTCTGTGTTTTATTGTATTATTTATTTATTTATGCACTTAAAATTATAATTTTATTTTAGAACAGATACTACACATCCCTGTTTAAAATGAAAAGGAACCGAAGAATGTACAGAGAATTTCCTTCCTACTCATCTTTGGTCTCCCAGCAGACAACCAAGTCATTAGTTTCTTTTGCATTCCCTCAGAGATATTTTATGTGTGTCGAAGCAAATACTTATGCAGTATGTGACACCCACACACGTGCACACACATACACACACACGTATACCTTATCCCCTTTTCAACACAAATCACACTCTGCACATTGTGCCTTGCCCTTCTCACTCACTCCGCCTCGGATATCATTCCATAGTGGTAGATAAAGAGCTTCTTCATTCTTTTAAATGGGTGTATAGTATTCTGTCATGGCATTATAGCATTATATTCTTATTTTCAACCTGTCCCCTGCTGATGGACATTTACCTAGTTTCCAGCATTAGCTGTAACAAACATGCTGCTTGGCTGGGTCAAAGATTATGTGCCTCTGCAGAGGTTATACCAGTTAACCCCCGACCCCCGCTCCTGCCCAGCAGTATATGAATCAGTGATATATTTTTAGAAAGTGCCTTTGGGAAGGCTGTTTGGAGGATGGAGTTTGGAGGGCCACATCTGAGCTGCAGCAGCCCATTAGGGACTAGCCAACATGAGCCTGCCATGGGCTATGGGAACTGGAGCTGGAACAGAGAAAGAGTCCAGAGGAGAGTTGGTAATTCAGTAGCTATGAGAGGGAGTCTATCAGATGAGTCGAGCCTGTTTTTAATAGTCTGTTCTGTTCACGGTAGATGATAGAGTCAGTGTCCATCCCCTCTGTGGCTGTAGCAGAGACCTGGGCCCTCCTGCCCCTTGACCTGGCAGAGGAGATGCTGCTGCTGCTGCTGCGTGCACCTGAGCCTAGCCCTGTGGCCCCAGCTGGCAGGATGAGGAGAGGAGGCTGGACAGGGAGAAGCAGAGTGGGAGACAGGAGGGTTGGGGCATGCCTAGGTCTACCTGAAGTCAGAGAGACACACCGTTCTGTGGGAGGCCAGAGGAGTGTCACAGGACAGGGGTGACCAAGAGGCCTCTTGGAACAGTGGGAAGAATTCTTCAGCAGTGGTGTCAGGAGCCCTGATTTCTAGTGTCTTCGATACTAGTTGGCTGTGTGATCTAGAGCACATGACCTAGACCCATGTCTGTGAGTCTCCGTTTCTTCATCTGAAACATAAGTTTACTGGAGATTAAGTAAGCTGACCTAGTGTGCGTAGTCAGAGTGCCCGAAAAAAGAAAGGCCCTCCCTCCTCCATGCCTTCCCTCTATCCCCAGCAGTGGGATAGAATCAGCATCATCAGAGTCATTCACAGAGCAGTCTCCTCTGCATTGCCAATGACCATAATCCGATCCCGAGAAATGCTTCATGGGCATTCTTATAAGCTCAAAATGTAATTATTCTTCATTTTAATAGGGAAAATGTTTGTATATTCCTGCAGTACGAAGTTACACGCTTCTTGTTGAAATGACTCCAAATCCCGTTAAAAAGGAAACAGTCACTTCACTGGCTAACATTATGTTCCTGACATGATTTATAGCAGTTTCCCTTCATTCACTTTCTGTAACTTGTCTGTCTACCTGCTGTTGTTCAGCTCAGGTGTGCTGTACAGTAGGATGATGCTCACAAGCGTGCACGCACACACACACACACACACACGCACACAAATGTTCAGTACTTAGCGATTATGACACAGAACCTTAGATGCTCCTAACACCCCAGAAGGAATAGGACTGAGCCGTAGCACTGTGAGGAAAAGATGCTGTCCACTCCCTAATCCTCCCCCTTCTGCCTCCTCTACTTTCTCAGTCTTCTCTCATTTCTTAGCAAGGGCAAGTATCTAGCCATTTGCCAAGCCTAGTACGAAACTTTTTTTTTTCCCCCTGCTGAGACATTTCTTCCTCTGTCAAATGGAATGAAAGTGATAGGATTGGTGCAATAGAAAGGCACGGGTTTTGGAGTTAGATGAGCCTATACCTAAACCCAGCCCTATTGCGTGTTAGCAGTGCGATCCTGGGCAAGCTCTCTGTGTTTTGTGGACCTCAGTTTCCTCATCTGCCATGGCAGTTCTGAAGCTTCAGGTCCAAGTGCCTAGCACAGGGCCTGTAGCCAGAAGCTGTGTAGTCACCATTTATTCCACTTTGCTCACTTTTACTGCAGTGCTTTGACCTGGGGCATTGGGCAACTTTCTGTGGGGCTCACCACCCCTTTTCCCTTTCTAACCTTCTCTTCTCTTATTCCAGGGGCCCAGATCATTGATCTGATGATGCTGGTCATCGATGTGACCAAGGGGATGCAGACCCAGTCAGCGGAATGCCTTGTGATCGGCCAGATTGCCTGCCAGAAGCTGGTCGTGGTGCTGAACAAAATAGACCTCTTACCTGAAGGAAAGAGACAGGCAGCAATTGATAAAATGACCAAGAAAATGCAGAAGACCCTAGAGAACACCAAGTAGGTCTGCTAATGAGAGCAATGTTCACTGCATAAGAAGGCTTCTGGGGCCTCCCATGTTCATTTCACAAACATGAATTGGACAGGCAGGTGTCAGCCTCCCGTCCTAGTAAGTGAGATCTCAACCTGGCATTTGCTCACATAAGGGCTGCATTAAATGAGGTAAAGGCTAACGTGTTTTTAAAAGAGGCCAAAAACCACAGGAGCATAAAGAAACTAGAATTTGATGAGGCACAAGCCCTTCTGTGTCTCAGCTCACAGGAAGGAGAAGGAGCACAGGGACTCTGTGCCCAGTGTGCAAGGCCTGGACTGGCAAGGGTTCAGATCCTTTCTACTTAGCTTGTCTTGATAAAAACTTAGTCCCGCCTACATATATTGGCCATACTTTGGTGCAAGAGAGGCTAGGACTGTGTTCTCTTGCTATCTGCTTCTCTACAACTCGATTATCAAAAGGGGAAGATCAATTTTGGTAGATGACTGGTTGTTTCTGTTACAGAAGCTTGTAAGATTGGGTGGACAGACCGACAGATGGTTGTTGCTGCTGGAAGCCAGACTAGGAAACACCAAATCACAAAGGACCTTTTTAGCATCTTCTGCCAAGGAGTTTACAGTTTTATCTTGTGGAAAGTAGGAAGTTATTAAGGAATTTTATGCAAGGGGTGGCTAGATGAGGTTTTTCATTAGGAGATCACTGGCTGCAGGTGGAAGGCTGGCATGGTGAGGAGGACCCAGGAGG
The DNA here is from genome assembly GCF_000001405.40 of Homo sapiens. Lineage (NCBI taxonomy): Eukaryota > Metazoa > Chordata > Mammalia > Primates > Hominidae > Homo > Homo sapiens. The sequence continues at coordinate 128,247,780 of NC_000003.12, forward strand.
CAGCAGAGAGGAGAAGGAGGAGAAGGAGAAGGAGCAGCAGAGGCTACTGAACTGTAGTGGTTTTACCAGGGAGAGAAGGTGTTGCTCTGAGTTGAGGCAGAGCATGGAGGGAGGAGGTGGCTTGGGGAGATATCTAGCGGGAGAATCCACAGCCCTGGTGAAGCAATTCGCCTGGATCACAGTAAGTGTGGAAGAAAGCTGGCAGTGCTACCTAGAAGGGCAGGGGTGCGGGAGGCACAGGGGGACTGTGAGACAGAAAGCCACCTGGTTGCTCAGGCGGCCACAGGAATGACTAATTCTGATGTGGTCAAGAAAATGAGAAAATGTCCTTGTTGAGCACAGTGTTGACAGACCTCATTGTTTTATCAATTTCTCTCTTCCTCTCTAGGCCAGTCCCTTTTGATCAATACTAAATAGCGGTCACTGGGAGACAGGGATGCTTCCTCTTTGCTATGCAGCCTGAGACAATATCCTGCCACTTCCACCTCTCCTTCTTCTGCCCATGGAGGGCAAGCAAGTAGAGAGCGTTTTTGTTTCCCTGTCATAAAGATTGATATGCCTTCCCATTTATGATGTTTTTTTCAGATCCAACACCTGCAGCTCTCCCTCAGAATTCTCAAGTTGGTTAAATTAAAGCTCCAGCTCTGTGAATGGGCCAAATATGTCATAAAAGATTTTCTAGCGCTGCCTTTTGTTAGCAAAATTCATCAATCCGATAAAATCGACACATTTAGATAAGTGTTGCATAAGAATTCAGACTTTGTTATTCCCAGCGGAAGTGGATATGAGACTGTAAAAAGGAAGATAAAAAATTATATCTTCTTTTTAGTGAGTTATTTGATCTCCCTGTCGTTTTATTTACTTGTCAGAAAAGGAAGAACAGGTCTTTTGGACTCCCGCAAAAAAACCCAGTACAACCTCAGTACTCAGATACAACCTCAGTATCATTTACTATAGAAATGGGACCTTCAGGGAAGGGCTTAGGGTACGTTTAAGGGTTAATTAATAGTAATAGTTTTGATTAAATTTAAGGAAAATTCTCATTTGCTTGTGAAAATTACTATTTCTATTTTAGTGTATTGATTGAAGATCAAATTATGGACTTTATCACACATCCAGAGGAAATTGTCCATCTGAGGGTCCTTGGAAGCCCCTCCTGCCCTCATCCAGCACCAGCAGGCTGGTAGGGAAAGGAGAGGACTGTCACCCTGAGGGGTTGTAATCAGTGGGCATGTGACCTGCTGAACATTAGCTTTTACCTCCATGAAGCAAAGAACTTCTTTAAATGATTTTAAGTGACTATTTCATTTTCTTATGTTCCCTTGTTAAGTAAACCCTTCATAAATGCCAGTCCAGATGCAAAGAAACTTTCTGTCTATAAAGGGAAAATGTGGACTGGTGAACCATGTACCTATCAAAACCAAAAAAGTGTTCAAAACATTAAATGTATTTTTTTCTGTCCAAAGAGTAACTGAAAGAAAACTTGGAAAATAGAGAAAAGTAGTTAAAAGAAAGAAGAGCCCACCCAAAGATTTCTTTTCTCAAATGGCAGCTGCTGGCACTTTTGGATTTTTTCATTTCTTTTTTCTTTTTAACTATGTGTAGTATTGCCCCCACTTTTTCTTCCACATTTTTTTTATTGTGGTAAAATACATATAACATAATGTTTATCATTTTAGCCACATGTAAGTGTATAATTCAGAGCTATCAAGTACATTCACAGTGCTGTGTACCTGTCCCCACTATATATACCCCAAACTTTTTCATGACCCCCAACATAAACTCTGTAGCCATTAAGCAATAACTCCCCTTTCTCCCTTCCTCCCACCCTGGCAACCTCTATTCTGCTTCTCATCTCTATGAATTTGCCTGTTCTAGATACCTTTTATCAGTGGAATAATATACTATTTGGCCTTTTGTGTCTGGATTATTTCACTTAGCATAATGTTTTTAAGGTCCATCCTTATTGTAACATGTGTCAGAATTTCACTCCTTTTTGTGGTTGCATAGTGTTTTATTATGTCTATATACCACATTTTATTTATCCATTCTTCTGTTGGTAGACACTTGGGTTGCTTCCTGGCTACTGTGAATAATGCTGCTATGAACATGGATGTATAGCTATTTATTCAATTTTCTGCTTTCAATTCCTCTCAGTACATCCTAGGAGGTATGAAGTGGTATATCATCATAGTTTTCATTTGCATTTCCCTAGTTACTAATGATATTGAGCATCTTTTCATGGTTTAATGGCCATTTGTGTATCTTTTTTTGAGAAATATCTATTCAAGTCCTTTGTACATTTTTAGGTTGGGTTGTTTTCTGTTGTTGTTGTTGTTGAATTGTAATAGTTATTTATGTATTCTGGACATTAATCCCTTGTCAGAGATATGATTTGCAAATATCTTCTCCTGTTTTGTAGATTGTCTTTTCACTTCGTTGATAGTGTCCTTTGATACACAAAACTTCCTAATTTGGATGAAGTCTAGTTTATCATTTTTTTTAATTGCCTGTGCTTTTGGAGTCATATCCATGAAACTGTTGCCGAATCCTGTGTCATGAAGATTTTTATCCAGTGTTTTTTTCTAAGAATTTTGTAGCTTTAGCTCTTAAGTTTAGGTCTTTGATCATTTTGAGTTAATTTTTGTATATGATGTAAGTTAAGGGTTCACCTTCATTATTTTGCATGTGGATATCCAGTTTTCCAGGCACTTTTGTTGAAAAGATTGTCTTTTCCCCTTTTAACTTTGTAAAAAATCGATTGACCATATATGTGTGGGTTTATTTCTAGGCTTTCTGTTCTATTCCATTGGTCTATATGTCTGTCCTTAGGCTAGTGCCACACTGCTTTGATGTCTGTAGTTTTGTATTAAGTTTCAAAGTCAGAAAGTATGACTCTTCTCTCTTTGTTCTTTTTCAAGATTGTTTTGGCTATCTGGTGCTCCTTGCAGTTCCACATGAATTTGAGAATCTGCTTTTCCATTTCTGTGGAAAGGTTGTTGGAATTTTGATAGGTATTGCATTGAATCTGTAGATCTCTTTGGGTAGTATTGACATCTTAACAGCATTAAATCTTCTAATCCATGAACCATAGGATATGTTTTTGTTTAAGTCATCTTTAGTTTTTTTTGGTTTTTTTTTTTTTTTTTTAGCAATGTTTTGTAGTTTTTAGCGTACAAGGCTTTTGTCTCTTCGATTTATTCCTAAGTATTGGATTCTTTTAGAGGCCATTGTAAAGGAATTATTTTC